>NC_000012.12:45793461-45944976 GCF_000001405.40 Homo sapiens
GCTTTTATCCCTTTCCCATAAATTGAAAGACCTAATTGAAAGACCTTAGAGTACTTTATATATATAACTGCCTTTATGTAACTGTGTGTGTGTGTGTGTGTGTATATGTATTATATATATATGCTATATATGTCATAAGCATTGTATATTTCTATTGTCTATATTTAAATCCCAGAGGACAATATATATACATATATATCTCAGCAAGATATTCTACATATTTATATATACACACACACACACATATATATCTCAGCAAGATATTCTACATATATATATATACACTTTTTTTTTCTTGGCTTTTTATTACATCTCCATACCTCCATTTAGAAACTTAATCTTTTAGTGCAGGTCTGCTGGTTTTAAAAAAAAAAGTCATTTCTTTTTTTTAGGAAATATTTTTATTTTTTCTATTCTTTCCTTTTTGAAGCAAATGTCTTCTTTTTCCTCTGACTACCTTTAATAATTGTTTTTGTCTTTGGTTTTTGAAACTATGTTGTAAGCAGTTATGAATTTTTAAAATCTTGCCTGGGGTTTTAATCTGTGTTTGGTAATTTCAGCATCTGGAGCAGTTTTGAGTGTGTTTTTATGGAAGTCCCCCTTCGAGGGTATGTTCCAAGACCCCCAGTAGATACCTGAAACTGCAGGTAATATGGAACCCAGTTGCCGTCAATCAGAACACGTTTCTGTTCATCTTCCACCCATACACTTAATGCCTTTTCTCTCTTAACTAAGCACTTACCACACACTGTGGACATAATGTTTGCAGTTTGAGGTGCAACAGCAAGACTAGCAGTTTATTTTTCCTTCTTCACAATTTTAGGGATGGAATATTTGTTCTTTCCATAGAGCTGAGCAACCTCAGCGTATGATTTTTTCTTGTTATTAATTTTCAAAAATTATTGGAAAATATGAAGAAAACATCTTGCATAAATGACCTACATTGGAACCCTTTGCTCTATCTCTTTATTTCATGCAATTTCTAATAAATTTTGAAGGGATACACTTATGGAGGCACAGGTAAGTGTATAATTTGCTGAAATAAGACTAGTGAGATTCAGACAAATAGGTCATCATAGGAGGAGTAGACCTGGACTCAGCGTTAGGAAAACTAGTCTTTAGGTCAGGTCTCCAGTAGTTAGGGCTAATTGCAGCACCAGGGATAGCTCCCGGTGTGTTCTTTTTTGTAATGGTGTTACCCTAATGGTAGAGGGCATTCGTCTTGCGTACTTTAATTGGTTAAACAACCCTAGCTTCCCCGATGGTAACAGATTTTTCTTTTTCATTTGGCCAGAGCATTCAGTTTTACTGTCTGAGGTCAGAAAACAAAGTGTGGTTATTAAATAATGAATCTAATTTATAAATTATGTGGTAGAACTGACTCTGAAAAAGAATTTTCTAATATTCTGTCTACTTAGCTATTATTTTTGTCTTGAGTAACTTAGCATGGTAATACTTTATGCCCCCAGCCCCCTCAGGTTTCCAGGGCACTTTCCCCACAAGTTTCTTTCTTTTTTCCATTTCACTCTAAAACATACTATCTTGTAATTTTCCACTCCTGTCGTTTTTTGTGTGTGGAATTTTTATATTCTGCAAGGTTTTTTTTTTAAACATGGAAGAGTTCTTAGATTATTCAAGAAATATAAATACATTTTATGTTTTATAATAATTTTAGAAATAAATTCAGATATTTATGAAGGGTGATATTTAGTATGGGAGTGTATTATATCTTTTGCACCCTCCATGTGCCAGTATCAAAGTCCCATCTAGAACATTGACCCTGTAGGGGATCATTTCTACCCATTGTACAATCACCTCAAGTCTACTCCTGTTCTCATGAGGTTGCTACTTTCTGGCTGATGATACTACGCCACAGGAGCCTCTGGATATTTTATGATAACTCTCTTATAGTATCAGTTTTTTCTTGTGGTACTCTGCTCTGCTTTCTTCCTCCGTCTTCCTTTTCTTTTTCTTTTTTATTTTTTTTTTAGACGGAGTCTCGCTCTGTCGCCCAGGCTGGAGTGCAGTGGTGCGATCTCGGCTCACTGCAAAGCTCCGCCTCCCGGGTTCACGCCATTCTCCTGCCTCAGCCTCCTGAGTAGCTGGGACTACAGGCGCCCGCCACCACGCCTGGTTAATTTTTTTTTGTATTTTTTACTAGAGACGGGGTTTCACTGTGTTAGCCAGGATGGTCTCGATCTCCTGACCTCGTGATCCGCCCGCCTTGGCCTCCCAAAGTGCTGGGATTATAGGCGTGAGCCCCCGCGCCTGGCCTCTCTGTTCTTTTCTTTTCCTCCTATCTTGTTTGTTCTTCTCTTCTTTATTTTCTTTTCTTTATATCCCTCCTTTTCCTTTACTTGCCTTTGCTCCCCACTTCCTGTCTCCTCCATCCTCTTTTTTCCAAATTAAAGGCTCTTTTCCTATATAACACTACTACTGCCTCAATAAATGACCACATCCCCTCTCTTTTATTCCTAGAAAAGCTGTTTTAAAGATTTGTTATTTGTTTAAATTCCCTGGTCTCCGCTCCTGTCTACTGTACTCGTTTTAGATATCTTTCTAATGTACTAAGAAAATAGAAACTGACATTTAGATTTCTTTTTTTAAACCACTTTCTCTACCACTTAAAAAATGATTTATATCTTAACTAAGTTTTTCTCCTTATTCAGAACTCAGAAGGAATAACTTCTGTTTACTCCTTTTTCCTTGATAAAATTCAAAAATTTTTAATATATATTTTACATATATTCACTTACAAATATTTAAATAGAATCATACTGTATGATTTTTTTCTAATTTTTACATAGTATCTAAAATATTTTTACATGTTATTAAGTATTCTTTTACACCACTATTTTTACGGGCCACATGGACTTTTCTTGCATAAAAACTTAGTATAGTAGTTCCCTGTTGGATAGTTAGGTTGTTTTTCTTCCTTATAAGCAGTGACAGTTTGAGTTTTTTTGGTAAATCTTTGAAACTATATGTCATCTATATATAAATCTATAACGATGTCTTTGAATGAATCTGTGAATAACATGTTTATTTTATTTTATTTTATTTTATTTTGGAGATGAAGTATTGCTCTGTCGTCCAGGCTGGAGTGCAGTAGTGCAATCTCGGCTCACTGCAACCTCCGCCTCCTGGGTTCAAGCAGTTCGCCTGCTTTAGTCTCCAGAGTAGCTGGGATTACAGGCACATGCCACCATGCCCAGCTAATTTTTGTGATTTTAGTAAAGATGGGGTTTACCACATTGGCCAGGCTGGTCTCGAACTCCTAACCTTAAGTGATCTGCCCACCTTGGCCTCCCAGAGTGAATACTGATGTGAACCATTGCGCCTGGCCAACATGTTTATTTTCTAAGTGTTATTTGGTAGGAGAAAGATCTCTGAGATCAAATGATACTCATGTTTTTAATGCTTTTATAGAGAATATTGTTAAATTATCCTTCAGAACCGATATAACACTATGTATTTCTACTCTCTGTATGAGTTTCTGTTTACCTAAACCTTTGCCAAAACTGGATATTATAGTTTTTCAAACACATTTCACATTTTACATCTGTGTTTCTCGTGTGCATCAAATATTACTTTGTTTTAAAAAATCATGTCATTGCTCATTTTAAAAATTATAATATCAATCCTTTTTATAATGATTTAAAGTAATTTAATATACATACATACACACACAAACACATAGTTTTCTAGGCTATTGTTTATCATTTAGTATTGTGTTATACTTTGCCTAAGTTTTTAAATTTTATTTTATTTTTATTATTTGTTTATTTCTTGACACTGAGCCTCACTCTGTGGTCCAGGCTGGAGTGCAGTGGCGTGATCTCGGCTCACTGCAACCTCTGCCTCCTGGATTCAAGTGATTCTCCTGCCTCAGCCTCCTGAGTAGCTGAGATTACAGGTGTGCACCACCATGCCCAGCTAATTTTTATATTTTTAGTAGAGATGGGTTTCGCCATGTTGGCTAGGCTGGTCTTGAACTCCTGATCTCAGGTGATCCACCTGCCTTGGCCTCCCAAAGTGCTGGCATTACAGTTGTGAGCCACCACTCCCAGCCGTTTTTAAATTTTAATGAGATAAATATCTTAGTCTTTCTTGGAGATAATGATTTCTCATGCTAAGAAGAGCCTTCCTTGCTCTTTAATATTATAAATATATTGACACATTTTCTTCTTTTTTAAAAATTTTACATTTAAATTTCTTACTCACCTGGAATTTGCTTAGTATGGCATGAGGTAAAAAAAATTAATTTTTTTTGTTTTGCACTAATGATTTATCGCAGAATTAATTATTGAAAATGCTATTCTTTCTTCACGTGTATATGAAATACTAGCTTTTTATATCAGAGAATTATTGATTCAGCTCTTCATTTTGTTTTAAATATTGTATCTTTTAATATATTATTTTTTAATTTGATCTTTTTATTGAAAAGTCATCAAGCACATTCTTAAAAAGAAAATAAATAATGTAAAGGATGGGAAAGTCTCTACTATGAGGCTAACTGCTATTATAGTTTCTTTATTTCATTCTAAAAATATATGGTTCATTTGCAAGCATATAGCTAATCTTCTTTTTATTACCTAGATAGAAATACACCATATACACAGTTGCTCTGTACCCTTTTTTACTATGTGTCACCAAATACAGATCTAACTAATTTTCTCACTTTTTACAGCTATATACTAATCCAACTTAAGAATCTAAAACAATAGTTTATTATTGTTTGAACGTGTTTTTTTTTTCCAGTATTTTTTTGTCAAAAACTACCGTAATATTCTACATCCTTATCCTATTCTTTGCTAACATGCAATGTAGGATAAATTTCTCGAAGTGGAATTTATTGTGTCATAGACTGTGACAAGTTACAAACAATGTAAATCAGTCTTGGCTAATTTCAGAAGAGATATTTACAGGAAATCTGGAAAACCAGGAATTAGTCTCTCACCTCCTACTGCCACTGCTTTGAATAACCTATGTTTGTTCTTCCCTAAAAATTCAAAATTTCAGGCAGGAGAATCCATCTGGACAAGGGTGTTATCTGTTCATGCTTTAGCTGCCTGGAAGTGGAGAGTAGGCTTTTTCAAGCTTTTAGGATTTATAGTTTAAGCCAGACTCTAATGCCCATCAGTTAAGCAAGTTCTTCTAAAAGTAAGGTACTTGAATGTGGGATATCAACAAACAAGCAATACAGTTATCATTTTTGGTTGCTTAATATCTATATGCAACCCTTCTTCTCATACAAACATTTGAAGTAAACAATATAAGAGCTCTTCAACGTAGTAAATTGTAATGGTTCTACTTATACCTGTAAATACTTTATTCATTCTCTAAGGGGAGACAACCCAAAGGCTCATAAGTTACTTCTTCCATCCAGCTTTAAATCCAGAAACTCTTAGTGTTTTCCTCTAGAAATCTCTTTTCTTCAGACTGTAATTATATTCTTATAATTACATATAAGTATAATTATATACTTATAATTAAGTGAAAAATTGAGGTACTCTCCCTAATATATTAACCTGGGTATTAAAATAAAAATATACAAGAAGTAAGTTTTTAATAAAGTGAAATAAATTCTATTTAAAATTTTATTTTAACCACATAAAAAGCTTTTATAATTTTTTAAAAAAGTATTTTATTATTCTTATTGTTTGTCTCTCCCCATGAGACTGTTAGCCTCATGGGGATAGCAATATGTGTCTGCTTTGTTTACACAGTATTCTGAGCATATGAAACAATGTCTGGCACATAGTAAGTGCTTAATAAGTATTTGTTGAATGAATTGTAGTAGGCTTTAAATCACTTTAATAGTTTGTCATGCATTGATTGGAAGGTTTGTTTTTAGATTCAGTTTATTTTGATACTTGCTTTTCCTCAGTGGAAGAACAATACATGGATGAACATGGAACAAATGCATCATTATGTACACTTAATAAATCATGATCCCTTATTTTAAAATCCCATCTGTCAGTGGTGCACATTTTTTTTGTTGAAATTTATTTATTTTCATCTTGCCCATCAATTTTTCTTGCAAAATTTGGGTCAGTGTAATATGTAAATCTGTTATATCTTTACAAAGTAGAAATAATGCAACTATAAAGGAAGAAGTAAAGAGGAAAATACAATAAACCTTTGTTGTTATAAAAGCAATAGTTGGGAGTCAAAAGATACTACTGAAAGTTGACATGCCAGATGACAAAATAAGAGAATGGGTTAAGGCATTGCAAATGTGTAAGTACCAAGGTAATCAATATAACAAAAACACAGATTTTACTAAATACCAAAAGATATAGAAAACAAAATGAAAGAACAAAGCAACACATTACATAAATTACCCCATCATGACTTTAGCTAAAACCCATAAATTTAGTTTTATTTTCTTTTTTTTCCCCTTCAGACAAGGTCTCAGTTTGTTGCCCAGCCTGGAGTGTGGTAGCGCAATGATGGATCACTGCATCTTCTACTTCCCAGGCTCAAGTGATTCTCCCACCTTAGCCCTCCGAGTAGCTGGGACAACAGGTGTGTGCCACCACACCTAGCCAATTTTTAAATTTTATGTAGAGATGGGGGTCTCACTATGTTGGCCAGGCAGTCTCGAACTCCTGGGATCATGCAGTTCACCCACCTCAGCTTCCCAAAGTGATGGGATTACAGGTGTGAGCCTCTGTGCCCAGAAAATTTAATTTTCGTACTGAAAATAGACTCATAGATAGTTAACAAAAAATATAAGTAATAATAAAATTAAATAGATACAATAACGTGGCAGAGTAAACCAAAAATGGAATAAAAACAGAAACAAGTGAATTAGTAGTTCAAATACTATACCATTTATCTGAAGACACAAAGAACTGTAAAATTCATATTAAATTCTAGGTTTGTTTACTTTAGGATTGAGCAAATGTGCAATTTTATTGAGAATAACATGAGCCAGATTTCTCAGTACTGGAGAAAAAAGTTTAAAATATGAAAAGAGATAACTGTGATGTTGAATTGATATTAGAGATGTTGCTATGATTTTATCCTTTTAGAGATAAAGAAATTTATAAACGTGTGCATGCATTTGTTTATATTTCTTAGTTTTGTATAATGGAAGGTCCTAGAAATAAAGATACCTCTTTAAGCATTGAGCACACCTAGTGTCCAGATAATTGGTTTCTAAATACCATTCATCACTGAAAAGCAGTGTTTATTGGGGAGAAAGAGGGATTCTAGGGCTGAAGCAGGGAAAATACGAGATAAGCCTGGAATATCTTATTGTGCTATAAATATAAAGTAAGAAACTGCTAAAAAAAATGATAAGGACACATCAAAAGTACATAGGAGCCAGCTTGAAAGGGATCCCAGTGGCCAAATCTGGGACACTGTCTAAAGGATACAGATGCCAAATCTAGGATAACTTGAGCATTTGACTGAATAACGATAGGAATGTAATACCCATGAAGTAAGAGGAGACTCTCTGAATCCATGGTAGTATAAATAATGAGTAAATAAACGAGAGAGGATGGAAAGTACTCACAGTCGAATGCCAACTAATAAATGTTGAAGGAATAATGGAGTTAGAAAAATTACTTTCTCACGCCTGTAATCCCAGCGCTTTGGGAGGCTGAGGTGGGCGGATCACGAGGTCAGGAGATCGAGACCATCCTGGCTAACATGGTGAAACCTCATCTCTACTAAAAATACAAAAAATTAGCCACGCGCGGTGGTAGGCGCCCGTAGTCGCAGCTACTTGGTAGGCTGAGGCAGGAGAATGGCGTGAACCCGGGAGGTGGAGTTTGCAGTGAGCCGAGATAGCGCCACTGCAGTCCGGCCTGGGCAAAAGAGTGAGACTCCGTCTCAAAAAAAGAAAAAAAAAAAAAGTAAAAAAAGAAAAATTACTTTCACAGTGACTTAGTCGAGAATCAATGGATGCTAAAACTAGCAGGTACAAGGTTGAAAAGGAACAGGATATTTAGACTTAAAGTGTTTTTCTGTAAATTAGTAATTTCTAAAAGGAAAAGGATAACTTCATAGTGTGATAACCTAGCAATCCCAACCTTAACAACAAAGTAATCAAAGTAAAAGCGCCAACTGTGAGACAAATAGACATGATGTGCCTCTTAATATATACACTAGGGTAACAATTCACATCTGTAGTATTCCTTCAAAAAATACATTCTCTGTGTCTAATTTAATTATTAAGACATATCAAATAAACCCGAATTGCAGGACATTCTGCAAAATCGCCACCCTATACTCTTGAAAGATGTCAAGGTCATGAAAAACAAGGAGAAACCACTTGTTTTTAAGTGGTTCACACACAAAAAATGTGTGTATTGGGGGGTGGGGGACAGAGAGAGAGAGAAAGAATGAGAATAGGATAAGGTAAATGAAGCAACATATAAACAATTGGTGTATCTGGATCTGGATGAAGGATAAATGAATTCTTTGAATATTGTTGTAACTTTAAAGTATGAATCTGTATCAGTATAAAAGTTGTTTTTAAAGGGTTCAAGCCTACAGAAACTTAAGGGAGGTTTTTAAATTATTTGGAAAATCCTTTTTTCTGGCTCAGTGTAGATATAAGAGTTTTGTTTTTCGTTTGGCTCCCCCACCCCCACCCACCCCCGAGACGACAGGGTCTCTCTCTGTTGCCAAGGCTGGAGTGCAGTGGCACAATCACAGCTCACTGCATCCTCAACCTTCCGGGCTTAAGTGATCCTCTTACCTCATCCTTCCCAGTAGCTAGGACTACAGGCGTGCACCACCACTCTTGGCTAATTTTTTATTTTTTGTAGAGTTGGAGTCTCACTATGGTTGCCCAGGCTGGTCTCAAAACTCTTGGGCTCAGGTGATCCTCACACCCGGCCTCCCAAAGTGTTGGAATTATAGGCATGAACCACTGTGCCTGCCAAAGAGTTTTAATATGTGACATTTGCACAGTATTTTCAGTCACAAAGGCACATGGTAGAGAGAAAATACTTTTTAAAAAACACCCTTTAAAAAATGTTCCATATTGCGTGAATTTCTTTTAAAAGTAATTACTTTCTATTTATTGTTAGAATTTCACCTTTATTGTAACGGGTAGATTGTCTTTATTGCCTTGTTTTCTAAATTATCTGCTAGGTAAGATATTGCTCATCATCTAATGTTATCACAGGAAAGTTAGTAAAGTTGGGCTTTTGAGAAGTAAGGCATATAACTCTTCTCAAGATTGGCATCACTTATAAATAAGCTTCAAGAGTACTTACACCACCAAGAAACACTGTGTGGTAAAGAAAAAAAAATTTTTTTTCGTGAGTCAATTCATTATGTGATCATAAAAGTCACAAAGTAAATTTTGCTGTATGTCTAAAACCTTGTTTACTACATTGAAATCATCTTGTAACACTTTTGGCATTGCCGACTTTCAACTTCTTTGCCACGTTCGTCTGCCTGTGAATGACATAATAAATGATTTTCACATGTCTAATCTTACCCCGTAATCTTCCCTTCTTTTCCCCTTCCTTTTTCCTTTTCTTTTCCCGCTATCCTCTCCCCTCATTTTCTTTTCTTTTCCAATTAAAGCACCTGCTTATTCATTGTGGCTTTAAGTAGAATTAACATGTTTTTCTGAAAGTCTTTTTTTCTAAAAAAAAATTATTTGCTTATGAGAACATATCTTCCATGTTAGAGCTTTCCTTTAATGACTCACTAAAAAGTAGTTCTTTGTGAATTTTGTTTTTGAAAGAGAATCTAGTAAATACCATAAGCTCAGACATGTTAGAAACATCTGTACTTGAATTCAGCTATATAGAAACCTCCCACACAGTGTAATTTGCTCTAATCCTTGTTTCTTCAACTCTTCAGTAGTGTTTTCTTATCATTTTCCAACAGTATTTTTTTTGCCATATCTTCCATGTATTAATTTAGCCACTTTTATCATGAGAAAATGAAAACATTTGTCTTCAGTGATACAGAAGTTAGCTTCTGAAATGACTGGTAAATATTTATCAGTATCCTTGCTTGAAATAATATTTCATTTTAAACTTTAACAAAGTACTTCAAATTCTGGATACTTAGTTGTAAGCATATTGCAAAGCATCACGTAACAAAAAGTACAGCATTAACCTAGGACAAGGTTAATCATTGTGGGGGCATGTAAATTTATAGTTTAGATCTTCTTTTGGTAATATAGAAATCTTTTGGCCTACTTCTTTCATATCTTATTGCATTTTCATTGTTTTTATTGCATAGTATGGTTGACAATAGGTTCAGGTGAGAAGCGTCTACTCTGCCACTTTATTGTTTAGTTTTGTTTGCATTATTCAAACTGGTTTCTTTGGAGGAATCTATTAAATTTAGTTGTCCTTTTTGTGAGAGATGGTTTAATTAAAGTTAGATAATACATCTTTAAGTTGACTTAACCTAGACACACGCAGACATTAGTAAATAGAAAATAACGAATGAGTAAAGGTTCCACTTGTCAAAAGCTAACAAATGAGTGACGGTTCCTCTCTTATGCATTCCACTTTGTCTGAAGTAGGATGAGTAACATATGGAGTGCCTGATATATGAAGAGAGGGAGAGAGGAGACAGTGTCAATGCATAAATTAAATGTCTTTCCCTATTGGAGTATCTTATGTGTGTGCCCCACTTTGAAGGACATTTCTTCTACAGAAGCAAGTACTGTTGTGGCTGAAGTTGGCTTGTGAAGTCCTGAGAAGGCCTGTACTGGAAAAAGGAGTTACATTGGAAATTCTCTGAATTGCACAACAAAGGAGTCATAGGAGAGATCCAAAAGTAGAAGTATTCTGAGATTCTTCATTAATTAAATTTTTTTTCCAGCAAAGCATGCGGCTTCATTTTATTAAATTCCCTTTGGCATCCTTTGTTTACATAATGTCATTTTTCTTTGATCTACAGATGAGTTTAATTGTTATGAAATTTTCAATATTGAACTATCACTGGACTTCCACAATAAAATCTTATAGTCTTGGGTTGTGGTGGTTGTGTTTAATGAGTAAATTAGTTTTTCTAGTGTGTGCGTGTGTGTGCGTGTGTGTGTGTGTGTGTGTCTGTATGTAGTCTTTTTTTTAACTGCAACTTTTATGAAGTTTATCAGGGTTTTACTGGATTACGATTTTCAGCATAGCTTCCAATCTTTTTCTATAGTTGGAAACATTTTACATAGCAATGGAAATGTCTGTTCTTGGAAAGTTTGAAATAATTGACTACTGGTTTTTTGATGTTAAAAAAATTTTTAAATTGTGAAATATATCATGCACACACAAAAAAGCTTAATACATCATCTAAACCCCCACCTCCAAAAAATTTAACCTTACTAATACCTTTGAAGCCTCTGTAGAATGGCAGACTTTAGCTTGTCCTCTAGGTGATAATCATTATGTTGCTTTTCTTTGTCACTTACTACATACTTGTCTGTTGCTACAAATATATTCGATTTTTTGCATGCTTATGATCTTCATATAAGTGGAATTATAATGTATTCTTCTGAAATGATTTTCTTTTACTTACCATTTTGTTGTTGATGGCTGTTTGTATGGGTCCATTTCAGTTTGTTAATTTTTACTGCCATATAGTATTTTATTGCCTCAATATGCCACAGTATTTTTATCTATGCTTTCCTTTATGGATGTTTGTGTTGTTTCCAGTTGGTTTTATTTTAGGGTGTATGCCTCAGAGTGGATTTGCTGCATGATAGGATAGTCTTTATTTTCTCCTTTTTTCTGTATATTTATATTTGCTGTCATTTTTATTTCCCTATGGTGATTTTGAAAGTAATGATCCTGACTTTAATTTTTGTGTTAGGCACTTGAAAAAAATTAGAAAACAGCTGATAACCTATTTACCTTAATATTAACTGTGAGAATAAACCTTTTGTTCAGTCTTCCTATACAAGTAACATACAGAGTAGAGCTTTAATTCTTACTAGTTTTCTTCTCCCATTTATGTGGAAAAGTTCTTGAAAATTCAGATGAGGAGTATTGTTTTCAAATTATTTTAATAGTTTTATATCTTTATATTCTTAATTACCAATCACAATTGCTTTCTCTTGTGTATATATAATGGTTATTATTGAGACTAATATCTGAGTTTACTTTCTGTACCTATTATTAGTCATCTGTATTGCTACCTAACCATTCCGACATTTTAAAAAATTTTCCAGCTTTATTGAGGTACAATTGACTAATAAAATTGTATGATTTTAAGGTGTACAACATGATGGTTTGGTATACATGTTTTGTGAAATGATTACCACAGTTAAGTTAGTTTAACACATCTATCACCTTACCTAGTTACCCTTTTTGTTTTGTGGTGAGAACATCTAAGCAAATTTCAAATAAAGTATATAATTCAGTATTGTTACCTAAAATCCCCATCCTGTATATTAGATCTTCTGAACTTATTCATATTGTAGCTGAATGTTTGTACCCATTGACCAGCATCTCCCTTTTTCCCCTACCACTTTCCCCCTTGGTAATCACCATTCTGTTCTGTGTTTCTAACCATTTCTTAATTTTGTTTCATCTATCAGACTGTTTGTTTGTTTGTTTTTGTCTAGAGAGCCATGTGGCTTTATTCTTTCTGAGTCTGCATATCTGAAAATGAATTTCTGTTGTCTTAGGTGAGAAACATAATTGGGTAGGAAACTCCTGTGAAATAACCTTTCTTCTCAAACTCTGTTCATTATCTTCTGGCAATTAATTTTTGGAGAGAAATCAGAGCCTGATTCAAATGTTCTGTGTAATTTTTTTTTTTTGGTGGGGGCGAGATGGTGGTTCTGGATAGTTCTAAGAATCTTCTCTATTTTTGAAGCTTAAATCTTTGATCAAGATGTATCTGAGTATTTTTCAATTTTCTTTACATTTTGCCTGGTGACCCATGTACCCGGACACCCTAGCCCCAGGGAACTTTTTGATGTTTACATCCTTTCATGCCTTTCAGTTAAAGACATTCTTCTATTACATCAATGATTATTGCTTCTGTTTCATTTATTCCGGTCTCTCCTATAGGACTACTGGTTTTAAAATTTTTTCTGTGTTTGAGCTTTTATTTATCATACATATCTTTCATTTTTGTCCACCACTTATTTCCATTAGTTTATTTCCTTTCCATATAGAACAGTTTCTCAGGCTTACTTTGTACATTACCGATGTGATCTACATTGTCAAATTTACTCTTTAATGCTCTCTCATATCTCTCTGTTTTTCTCTCTCTTTTGGAAATCCTGGAAGAGAAACTTTATTATTTTTATGGTTTCCAAGCTACTGTACTGGATTTTTTTGCCTAGTGTTTTCATCTTGAAGTTATCACATCAGTGTAGGTCCCTGTCACCGGATGACACCAGTCATTCCGTGCTGGTGCTTCTCATAGTTGCTTCACATCCCCTTGGTCTTTGGACTCATTTTGACAAAGAAGTTACAAGTTGAAGTTTATAAAGGACCTTGCTTTCTTGGAAAACCAACTATTTCAACCCAACTTTCAATAAATCTTTTAAAAAATAGTTGTTACTCTCTGGGTCCCCTTTTGAAACACACCATCACTTTCTGTAGCTCCTCAGGAGCTAAGGGAAATCCAAATTGAACTTGCCTTTTTAAGTGTTTGGGCCTAGGATCCACCAGACCATATTACTTTCTCAAGATGTGTTTTGTAAGTTGGCCTTGTGAATCCTTGAAGTTGCTTTAAATGTATCAGAATTTATGAAAGTTTTTAACTGAGAAATTATGCTAATACCTCTTTATTTTTCTCTCTAAAGTTTATTGTAATTGGATTTAAAGGGAGAAGTGAATATGAGTCCTTGCCCTATCATCTTTTTTTGTAACATTTCAAAAGGTTTTGTTAATATGGAAGTGTTTCTGTCATACAGAGTTAATTTTTTTTCCTTGATCCAAGAATAGTCAAGAGTTTTCTTGATTGGTAGTGGTGGTGGTTATTGTTTCAGTTTATAAGTATTCTACCAAAATATTTACAGATGAGGTTATATGATATCTGAGAATTGCTTTAAAAAAATCTGAGAGAGATTTGGTTGTCAAGATGGGTAACTGTGGTTGTGATAAAACAAGATTGACCATAAATTGATATCTATTGATAGATACTATTGTGCTAGTCTTTATAGTTTTGCCTATGGGTTTGGAATTTCACATAAGAAAAAATTAGTTCTAATTTTACAAGAATTTGATTTCTTCTAAGAAAAAAATTTCTTGAATTGCATTGTGGTTAGAAAATGTGCCCTATATAACATATAATCTTAAATTTATTGTAGTTTTCTGTGTGAATTGATACATGATCAGTTTTAAAATTTCCATTAAGATTCTAAAAGGAAGTCATTATGTGTCCAATACCATCTTGGTGATGATATTCAAGTCTTCTGTAACCTAATTTATTTCTTTGTCTACTTAATCTGTCAGATATTGTAAGAGATACATTAAATTTCCCCAAAGTCACTGTAATAGTGCTGATATTATTTGATGCTGTTTTGAATGAACTCTTTTTCCCCCATTATATTGGTCACATTTAAGCTTTCTGGATTACAATATTTCACTAGTTTTGAGTTAAATATGTAATGTACTAGGCAGATTACTATAGGAGCTCAGCAAATATTTGTTTGAATAATATGTTAACTGTTCAAAGTTATGTCATCGATTTTTGAGGAGAAAGATGTGCAGTCTAGCATTTGTAGTTTAATGGGTGAACACAGTAGATCTGTTGATATGTAAACTCAAGGTCATGTTAGGGAATTAAATCAGAACACTTGCACTTTGAAATGTAACTTTGTGTTTTAGCTGTGTTCTCTGGTTTGTTAATACTTTTTAGTTTTTAGAAGTATAACTGAAAAACCAAACAAACTGACCTTGTGCTTATTTATTGAGAGGGTGCCAAAATCTTTTTGCATCTCAGTTGGAAATATTTAATAATGGCAGTGAGAACAAGTACTGGTCTTCAAGCCAGGGAAATAAAAATTTCAAAATCATAACAGCCTAAATCATAAATTTCTGGGGATTGGAATTGTGCAAAGAATCTGTTTGGAAGAATACTGTTAGACTATTACAAGGGACCAGAAATGATGTATTTTTAAAACCTAATGAAACTTTGAATTATATGGGGTTTTATATATATAATATATATGGTTTATTATGAGTATATAGTGTTGTCAGTTCACTCCACATCTCTTACGTTCCATTTTGGGTGTTCTGGGAGGGACGAGTTCCTGTTTATAGCCTTTCTTTACTAACAATGTTGCTTTCTCTCCCGGCCGTTATTAAAAATGTGTGTTTGCGTGCGTGTGTGTGTGTGTGTGTGTGTGTATGTGTGTGTGTGTGTGTTGAGACGAAGTTTTGCCCTATCGTCCAGGCAGCTGGAGTGCAGTGGCACAATCTTGGCTCACTGTAACCTCGGCCTCCCAGATTCAAACAATTCTTGTACTTCAGCCACCTGAGTAGCTGGGATTACAGGCGTGCGCCACCACATCCAGCTAATTTTTGTATTTCTTAGTAGAGATGGCGTTTTGCTGTGTTGGCCATGCTGGCCTCGAACTCTTGGCCTCAAGAGATACTCCCACCTCACCTCCCAAAGTGCTGGGATTACAGGCGTGAGCCACTGCACCCACCCTAAAAAACACGTAAATTTTAAATCTACTGTACTAAATGATAACAACTTATGAAGAGCATCCTAAACCTGTTATTTAATGGTCTTCATTGTTATTTTGATTAGATAACAATTATTTTATAAAGATTATTTATCTGTAGTCTGTTTTAACCATTCCACAATGAGTTCAAACAATTCTAAAAGATTGTACTATGTAAAATACCTTTATGAATACTATTATATCCAAGTGATTTTGTGTGACATATATTATCCTTCATTTGCAGTAAAGATGCCACATAAATTTTGAGCACCTGTTTTTCCAGTGTACTTTTTATGTCTACATTTATATATATTTTTCTTTCTGTGATACCTGCTTTAGCAATTTAAAAAGAATGAGCTTGATTCATTTACCTACTTAAGTTTGTTGTGGGTTTATGCTAGAGAATGACTGCCCCTTCTTAATCATCTTTTTGTTCTGTTTTGTGTTCTTAGACTGTAAATTCTGTCTGCAAGGGACATACTCAGAGTCAGGTTGAAATGTGTACACTTGCCTACCATTTTCAATGCTCAAGGATTATATCTGTGTATATGTCTCTGCTTCAGTATGTTTTATCTACAACCATAAAGAAAAATATTGGATTCATTATCTATCAAGCTACCTGCTAGGAAAGAGTTTCTTGCTCAAATTAGGCTTATGTGGGGAACTTGGAAGTAATGGAAAGGGACAGTTTAATTCTTTTCCAGGTTCAAGGATGTGAATTATTGTGTCTTGTAAAGCTGGAAGGGGAAAATGAGGAATGATAATGATTTTTCATGTCATTAGTTTTTATATTTATAAAATTATAGCTTCCATTCATCCCTCTTTGAAATTTAAGGTTTGGTACTAAAAATAATACTTCCAGGATACTCTTACATGTTCATTGATACCCACCTCCCTTACCTCAGCTGTCTTAAAAAAGCAGAGGGTAGGTAGCTGCCAAGCTTTTAAGTAGCTCCAAATGGACTAAGCACCTGCCTAGATCAGGAATGGTAGAAGGATTGATCTGTAAAATAATCACATGTAGAACTTTTCTTTGGTAAATGTAAGTCATTATATATCAATCAGTTTAACTTCTTATCTGTGAAGCATAGTAACAGCTATGTTAGAATAGTGTTGTGTTTGACATGGTTTCGACCAGTTGTTTCCCTGTTTTAAAATCACATCTTACTTGGAAATCTTACTATAAACTGGTAGATGATGAGGTATTATGAATTTGAAAATTCAATCCTAGTTAATATTAAGATTGATTATACTCAGTAATGGTGATACAGTGGGGGGATACACTGTCTTATAAATTGGTCAAAATGTATTAGGCATAGTACTTTTGGATTGCAGTTTGGCTATATTGATGTTTAAAATGATCATACCTTTCTAATATCAAGAGAAAATATTCAAACAAGTGTACAGATTAAGTTTATTACCAAAAAACAAAACTGAAAATACCCTAAATGTATTGCTAGAGAACTATTTAAATTTATAATGTATCAATAGGATCAAATGCTATACAAAAGAATGTTACAAAAGAATGAGGTAGTGCAGTATGTATTGGTATATTTAGACCTCTAAAATATATTATTAAATAAAGATATTCTCAGAAAATATACTCAGGTTTGCACATGAACCTGTTGTTATTGCTGATAAGTGAATTTGTAGAGGTCAAGGGTTACAGAATCTTCTAATTTTCATATTGTTTTTATAATGACCATGTATAATTTTTACAAATAAATAAAGGTACTATTCATCTACATGTAGTTGTCATCTGATATTCCCTATTTTTATATTGTTATTTGAATAGTGGTATGGTCTTTTCTGAAAATATAAAAATACTTTTAGAACCATTGCATTGAGGCCGGGCGCGGTGGCTCATGCCTGTAATCCCAGCACTTTGGGAGGCCGAGGTGGGTGGGTCACGAGGTCAGGAAATTGAGACCATCCTAGCTAACACGGTGAAACCCCGTCTCTACAAAAAATACAAAAAATTAGCCGGGTGTGGTGGCAGTCGCCTGTAGTCCCAGCTACCTGGGAGGCTGAGGCAGGAGAATGGCGTGATCCCTGGAGGCGGAGCTTGCAGTGAGCTGAGATCGCACCACTGCACTCCAGCCTGGGCGACAGAGCGAGACTCTGTCTCAAAAAAAAAAAAAAGAACCATTGCATTGAGTTTATCTGCGGTTTATCTTACTCTAAACTGGAGTTACTGTTCTAATATAAGAGGTTTATGGTATTTTTATTAATTTTTTTAGATTATTGTTTAGAAAAGGAAAACAAATATGTGGTGAGAGTTAAAAATAAGATATAAATCTATTTTTAAATGTTTGCTGTGCTGTTTTTCTGTTTCAGTTACCTAGAAAAGTACGAGAAAGTTCATCATTTTGGGGAGGATGATGATGAGGTACCACCAGGCAATCCAAAGCCACAGCTTCCTATTGGTGCAATTCCATCTTCCTACAATTACCAGCAACACAGTGTGTCGGGTAAATATCACTGCAAATTAACAGGATATATGTCCGCAGTTTTGAATTAGGAAAATAGACATCATCCAATGAGTTAGTCCCTTCCTTTGCACATGAGAACACTTAAGGCCTTAAGGTAATGCAGCTTTCAAAGATTGACATCTAATTGGTATCAGAGCCCTTTCTCTCACAGGTTACTTGAGAATTTTAGTTGCAGGAATTTTTAGTTATAAAACACTTTCACTTCCAAGTAATGATTTTTCCTTATTGCTCTAACTAATGATCAGTTTATCCTAAATAGTCACTAAAATAAGAAGAGGAAGATCCTGTTAGGATTCAGGAGACCAAGAATTTTCTTATAGAGTCTATTAGATTTTCTAACATTAATGGGATTTCCAGCATCAGAATTCTCAGAAATGTTTCTGATTATTCTATTTTCCTGCCATGGTAGCAGGAAGATTTTTTTTTCACTTGTCATGCTTGTAATGGTTATAGAGGAATCCACAGCTTGAAAAAAATCAAGTTGGAAAAAAATCAGCGCGAGTGTTGATACTCTCTTGAGTGGAGTAGACGGGCTCCAGTTTTCAGTGGCTCTGGAGGTCAGGACTGTGATGACTAGGAAGAGAGGTCTAAGGAGATACACATCTTTGTTTTTCCACTCACTAACATTTGGCCTAAAAAAAAAAAGAGATACTTGTTTTTCAAGCTATGTTCTTTATAAAAATTATAATTATTCTAAATATTTATTATCATTATTATTATTTACTGGTACTAGTTCTGTACTCTTACAGGTTATCCTTAGATTTATACTGTCTCATTTGTGGACTATCATCAGTATCATCAACTTTTTTTTCGTATTATCTATTTTCAAAGTTTCTTAAAAGTTGAATTTGACTTCATATTTCTTCCCTAATCAGTAATGACTGAAGAAATAGAATCTTCTTTTAGAATCTGCGATCTCCATTAGAAGAGGCTTCATCTGATGCTTTTGTATAATTGGGGTAGGGGTGAAGCAGGGAGTGCCAACAAAACCTAGCTTTGTTTTTAATGAATAGTTTTTACTGCAAGAACCAAGAGTAAAGGAGAATATTTTAAGTCACCTTTAGAAATGCTTGCTAATAGTTTATGCTGATAAGATAAAATGGGGTGACTTGTTAGGTGATGTGCTCCTTGTTTCTAAAAAGAGCTAATGACCATTATCTAATTCAAGGATGTTAAAAAAGATACTCCTACATCGAATGAGATGTTGTGCTAATGACCTTTAAAGATCATTTTCAACTTACAACTCTGTGTGATCCCTGTATTACAATAATAGCAGAGCTATTAATCCTTGTAACTTAAACAGACTTTGGTGTCCGCTACTACTGTTCCCAAACAAACACTTTTCTATGTTTGGTCTTGTTTAAAATAGATTTTTTTCCTGAATCTGTTTTTTCCCATTTTCTATTGATCTGCTTTGAGAAAGATCATGTGAAATATTTTTGGTATTTCGGAAGCCTATAATGAAAGTTACTGATAGAGCTACACAGGTTAAAGGAGTGATAGAATTGCTTAACCTGTTGTTAAAACAACCCTTTTCTGATATGCTATTATATGTGTGATTTGTTTTAAGAGAATCTGAACAGTTACATTTTATGTGTAACATGTGTAATGAAGTCAGGATTGGAGATTCATGAAGAGGAAGAAACTGGGAACTGATGGGGAACATCAGATTACAGAATATCTAGTTCATACTGAAAAGGGGTAGAATTTCAGGGCAGCATTTATACTTTATGTTTTTCTAGAAAGAGCCATAGCAACATCATGACAGTATTCTAAAAATTGACATGATTATCAATATATAAAGCAAATAAGTCATTAATTTTTCTTTTAATGTGTTATTAAGGAAAATAGAATAAGCTCCGTGTGTGTGTGCGTGCATGTGTTCTAAAAAAAAAAAAAAAACCACCAAAATGAAATTATCTAATATTAGATTGAGAGTATTTAAAGAAATTTACTTAGAACTTTGAGAAGATATGTATTTACATATTTGATCATACAGCCTTATTCCCCTTGTAGCTTTGAATAAATGTATTTATCCAGAGATACTTTTATTGTTGACATTAAGAAAAGCTGTTCTAAAATATTTTGAATGGTAGTATAATAAATTTCAGTGGTCAGTAGTGCTAGAATATAGAACATCGTACACTGATAGAATGTGGGCCTGAATTTGCCTTTGAGGATATTGACTACTTTTGGCCAATAACTTTAAGTGGCAAAAAAAAATATTGTGGGTTTTGTTGCTTTAAGCTTTAAGATTCTTCAACATTGGCATCAAGTACATGGTGGTTTTTATCATTCATTTGCATAGGTTTTCATACTGTTTTTGACATTACATACCTAATACTTCAGTTTCCTTCTTTCTCTGTTTTTTTCCTTGGTATTGATTGGATATAATCATTTCTGCAGAATTATTAGGTGGATTATTATTATTATGATGATTTAATCCAACTCAATCATTTTAATAAAGTGAAGCCAAGTACCCGGTCCATTTGCATTTTTGGTACTTAAATTTTCGGTTTCAAGAAGGAAGATATAAAAATTTTTTATTAGCTATATTTGAGTAAAGATTTTCTTTAAGCATTGCATATTCTAACAAGACATTTGGACTACAACAATCACTGCCAATATAGATGGATAGAATATATTGTAGAATTTCTACAGTGTACATAAACAGCACTCCAGGAACAACTCTCCCTTTCTTCTAAATTGAAAACAAAGAGAAGTGACTGCCTCAGATTAAATTTGTCAGTAGTGACCCACTTGTATAAATTTTGAATCAAGAATGTTGAAAATATGGACGGGCGCGGTGTCTCACACCTGTAATTCCAGCACTTTGAGAGACCAAGGCTGGTGGATCACCTGAGGTCAGGAGTTTGAGACCAGCCTGGCCAACATGGTGAAACCCTGTTTCTACTAAAAATACAAAAATTGGCCAGGTGTGGTGTCGCATGCCTGTAATCCCAGCTACTCAGGAGGCTGAGGCAGGAGAATTGCTTGAACCCAGGAGGCGGAGGTTATAGTGAGCCGAAATCCACAGCACTCCAGTAGCCTAGGCGACAGAGCAAAACTCCATCTCAAAAAAATAATAAACTTCCCTCCTCATTCCAGTTATAAAATTATAGCTACTCAACCATATCTCCTTGAGGGAATGAAAGGAGGATCTTAAAATTTTATAAGCATTTTCTCCTACATAATTATCTTAGGAATCTTTACCAAGGAATTTTTAATTCGCCAAATGATTATAATAAATTGGTGCTTTCACTGTTATCTGAACTCCCAAATGAAGCAGACTTTGCTGTTAATGTATGCAGTCTCCTGTCAAATGAAAGCAAGCACATCATGCAACTTGAAAATGATCCTAAAATCATCACTTTACTACTAAATGTTTAAATATAATTAAAGGATATTTCATAATTGTTATGTTTATCTTACTCTAATTGAAGATGTCTTTGACAGAGTCATTCTGGTAAGGATGTATTGAATGGAATATCTGTCATTTTACAGTAGGAAATAGCACAATTCTAAGATCATATTGAAAACATAAACTTTAGGACTGCGACAGATAAGGAATACGGGTTCCACATTTTTTTCTATTCAGATTTACCTGAAAGCTATGTGGAATATAAAAATGTAAATTAATTATTGCTAAGACTTGGCTTATCATCAGTCCAGTTTACAGTGTAGAATATAAAAATCTGCTCCTATATTCATAGAAGTTTCATTACTTTTTCTCCAGATATTTATTTTATGTTACTTATGAGAAATTTCATTTATAAGGATTATCAAAAATGAACAATATATTCTTATTGTCAAGCTTTAAATATTGTAAACAATCTGTGTCATAGCCATTAAAAACTGTGTTGTGGAATTTCTTCATTATGTTGGAGACACTGCTAGAATAGGTTAGAATTGAAGAGGTGTATCTCTTCAACTGTCTGCATTTGGAAATGAAATTCTTTACTTACATGATATTCTTCTGTGGTATGTTGTGACAGTAGATTTCTACTTGCATCCTACTTAAAGAGATTGTGTGTGTGTGTGTGTGTGTGTTTTTAACTTTTAAAAATATTCAGATATTTCCGAAATATTCTTTTGTTATTGTTGTTAAGAGACAGGTCTCACTTCGTCGCTCAGGCTGGAGTGCAGTGACTTAACCAAAGCTCACTGGAAACTGGACCTCCTGGGCTCAAGCAATCCTCCCAGCTCAGCCTTCCAAACAGCTAGGATTACAGCACACACCACCACAACTAGCTAAATGTTAAATTTTTGGTAGAGACAGCATCTCATTATATTGCACAGGCTGGTCTTGAACTCCTGGCCTCATGTGATCTTCCTTCCTCAGCCTCCCAAAGTGTTGGGATTATAGGCATGAGCCACCATGCCCAGCCTGAAATATTCTTGAATGTTTAAATTTTAGTTTTTTGCCTTTTCCCTTAAACTTGTGACAGCTTTATTTGAAAAAATGTACTTGTGATATTTGTCTCAGGACATAGTTGCCAAGGTCTAAACTGCCCCGTTAGGATTCAGTTATTTCTAAAAATACAACATTTTTTATATATGTGAATTATGATTATATAGTATCTTAGTGTTCTGTAAGCCCGTTTTATCCCATCTTCAAAGTTTTGTAAATGTTTTAAATTAATTCTCCTGTGGAAAATCTTAGTTGCTTTGGTTTAGGCACAAAAGCATGAACCATAAAAGTAAATATTTGTAACTCAGACTTCATCAAAATTAAAATTTCTGTTTAAAGACACTTAAGAAAATGAAAAGATAAGCCACTAACAGGGAGAAAATATGTGCAAAGCAAATATGAAACAAAGGACTCATTTAGAGTATTTAGAACTGACAGTATTAAGTGCTGGCCAGGATGGAGAGCAATAGGAACTCTTTATATTGCTGATGGAAATGCAAGATGTTACAGCCACTTTGGAAAACAGTTTCACAGTTTGTTACAAAGTTAAGGATACACTTATGTGTGACTCAGCAATCCCACTTCTAGGTATTTATGCCAGAGAAATGAAAAAAATATGTCCCGACAAAATCCTGTCTATGTTTCTAGCGAGATTTATTAGTACTCACCAATAATTGGAAACAATCTAAACGTCCCTCAACTAGGGAATGGATAAACAAACTGTGTTTAGAAAGGTATGGACTACTGATGCACTTATCAACATGGATATGAATCTCAAGAGCATTTTGCTAAATAAAAGAAACCAGACAACAAAAGACTATATTGTGTGATTCCACTTATTTGGCATTTTGAAATAAAATGATAGGAAAGTAAATTTGATTTGTAGTACCTAGTGGTAGGGGATGGAATTGAGCATGAGAAACTTTTTGTAGTGATAGAGATACTCTATATCTTGACTGTGATGATTAAAACTATACATCTGTCAAAACTTAGAATTGTAGAACTAAAATTAGCATGGGTTTTACTATGTTAATGATATTGCAGTAATTTGGAAGAAGTCCATTGAAATGCAATAGTAAGAAGTGTAGATTAGTCTGGGCACAGGGCTCATGCATGTAATGCAGCACTTTGGGAGGCCGCAGCCGGAGAATTGCATAAACTCGGTAGATTGAGACACCAGCCCGGGCAACATAGGGAGACCTCTCTCTACTAAAAATAAAATTAGTTGAGCATAGTGGAGCCTTCCTGTAGTCCTAGCTACTCAGGAGGCTGAGGTGGGAGGATCACTTGAGCTTGGGAGATTGAGGCTGCAGTGAGCTATGAAAGCGACATTGCACTCCATCCTGGGCAACAGAGCCAGACATGTCTCAGAAAATAAAAAAAGTGCAGCTAGGTCAATTAAAATACTGATTCAAAAATATTTTGGCAATGATGGCCAAATGGTATGTACATTTTGGTATTTTAATACCTTTTCAAGAATGTAATTTTAATTAGTAAACCTAAGAAGTTTTAAAAGTTGAACGTTTTGAACCTCTAATCAGTTTATATTTTATATATATATATATTTATATTATATTTTATATATATTATATATATATATTTAAAGCTGTGTTCTGTATTCAAGGGATATTCACCATAAAGGTATCTGATCTTTGATATACTTAAGGTATTTTTTTTCTTTGTTAGATTATCTGCGTCAAAGTTATGGGCTGTCCATGGACTTTAATTCGCCAAATGATTATAATAAATTGGTGCTTTCACTGTTATCTGGACTCCCAAATGAAGTGGACTTTGCTATTAACGTATGCACTCTCCTATCAAATGAAAGCAAGCACGTCATGCAACTTGAAAAAGATCCTAAAATCATCACTTTACTACTTGCTAATGCCGGGGTGTTTGACGACAGTAAGTTTTAAGCTGAATGTATTATATAATTCTTCTGTAAAAGTTTTTTTTTTAAGGTTTTTAAGGAGAAAGTACTTTTTGTTTGTCAACATAATAGCATTCTTTATTTTCTGTTTTTATATTATGCATTATTTAAGATAATGAATGTTTGGGGGGTTTTAACCTTAAATATTTGAATAGTAATTTTGTCTCAGTGTTTTTGAAGTAAAAGTCCTGGTTTTTAAGTTGGAGTAATATATAGATTTCCTGAGTTGAGACGATTGCTTGCTACAAGATTTTGACAAAGAAAACTAGGATCTGGAAGAAATTGTTTTCTGAAGTCTATTACTGCTAATGTGTGGCTATAATTTTTAACTAAAACATTTTAGGTCAATGCATTTGAAAATTTGTCTTCTAAATCATCAACGTAAGGCTTATCAAAGGCTTCATATCATTTTTACTTGTAGGGTTTGCTAGTTGTGGGTTTTGATAAATCAAATTCTTCATCTCTTCTGAAATTACCTATTAAGGCTAGATTATCACACAGAGCAAATTACTCAGTTTTCTCTTGCAGTTTAATAAAGATTTAGAAATAATATTTTGAAATCTTTCCCTGCTCAGTTTTTCTTTTGTAAAATATCTGTGTTAGCTGAAGTTATTGGTATAAAGTTATTTCTTGCTTTCCGACTCTCCCCAACTCCAACCCCATTTTTTGCCAGAAGTATATCCTATTCAAGAATAAGGTATTGACATACATCAAAAGTATTTTATCTTTTAGGAAATTATATATATAGCACAGTAGCAGAGTCTTTGAGAGAACTTGTTATAACATTTTATGACTTTTTGTTTTTATCTTTAGTGAGATGTTTGCAAAAGAATTTATTTCTCTGCAATTTGATTTGGGTCAAGTAGTGTTTTATTTGGGATTATTTAGGTAGGATTCTTTGAAATTTGGCACATATTTTATATTGAAAATGATTTTGAAATTAAATAAAAGTAAAAATTAGTTTCTTAACTTGCCCAAAACTATTCTTGATTACATGGATGGGGATGTGGGAAGAAAGATGGTTAGTTCTCAGTTTCTGTCATAACTTTGAAGATATAAATTTGATGGCTTTTCACATCACTTTTATATTCTTTGATTTCCGTTATTCTATTTTGATCTTCCAAATACAACTTTCAGCATTTATTGTAGAATGGAGTTGAAAATTGTTTCACATTTTTTAGAAACCTTAAAATGAAGCCTTTGAAAAGAATGTATATTTTCAAACCAGAATAATTTTAAGTCTTAACATTTAATCTTTGAATAGGATTACATGTAAATAATTTAAGTTGGGTATATGATAGAAGTAATCTTACCAGTTTGGGTGCTCTAAGACAAGACCTTGTTTAGACCTAATTTATCTTCATGCATTCTTCAGGCATTTTGTTTGTTTAAAAGACTAAATTATTGTGTAGTATAATAATGCAAAACCGCATTAATTTAGCAAGTGCCATTTGGGTATAGTTTCTATCATTTGAAGTCACAGAAAGTTTAGTTCCACAGTACATAGGGACTTTATGAAGACCTTATATTTAAAACAATAGTTTTATATGACAAAAATAATTCCTTTGGAGTTTGAAGGTTGTAGACATATTTTATTTGGTTAGACTTTGAGAGGCTTCAATTTGATTTTTAGGGCATGAGATTTTAATTGAGAGAGAAATATAGATGCCACTTCTTTTAGAAAGTAGAATATTTACATATTTTGTGTGTTTGAAGAAGTATAATAAAAATTCTATGTGACAAGAAATTTCATTTTTCAATTTTATATTTCTGCCCTATATTGTTTTCCCAGGGATGTTATTTGCTTGGTGGGTTTTTTGTTTGTTTTTTTGGGTTTTTTTTTTTTAAGAGACAGAACCTTGCTCTGTCCCCTAGGCTGGAATGCAGTGATGCAGTCTTGGCTCACTGCAACCTCCGCCTCCAAGGTTCAAGTGAGTCTCGTGCCTTAGCCTCCCAAGTAGCTAGGACTACGAGTGAGCACCACCACACCTGGCTAATTTTTATATTTTTAGTAGAGACAGGGTTTCCTCATGTTGGCCAGGCCAATCTCAAACTCCTGTCCTCAAGTGATCTGCCCGCCTCGGCCTCCCAGAGTGCTGGGATTACAGGTGTGAGCCACCATGCCCGGCCCCTAGGGAAGTTTTTTATAAGGATTTTTCAGGACAAAGAAAACTTTGTCTGTCTTTAGTGGTGTGTGGGCTTCATTTTGCTGGTTAAGCTGCTACTTATGTATAAATTTGATATTTTATGAAATGCTTTTTGAGGTCACTGTAGTTAATTTGTTTATTCAAAACATTTACATCTGTTCTTTATATTATTTCCTCACGACCCTAAGGTCAGTAGTAAAATCATTAGTAAATATAATTTATGTTTAAAATGTTGCTGTTTCTCACCCTTTTAAATATTTTGTAAGATGAAAATTCTTATTCTAGCCAGAGTACTTTACAAACTTTATTTTACTCAATTTTAACTAAATATTAGGTTCATACTTAAAAGGTAATAAGACTGCCAAGAGTCCATAAATCTCTTATGAGAGAAAACATACCCACTTGTTATGCTTGTCATAACACGTCCAATAAGGAAGCTTAAGATTTTGTTTTTTTAAAGATTAACGTTCATAACAGCTAGTTTTTCTGTTAACAGTTGTCATTATATAATTTTCTTTTGGTTTCTAAAAGCAGTAACTTTCATTACGGAGCTAATGTGATAGTTGATAAAGGATTCACTTAATTTTTAAGGGGAAAAATACATTGTATCACAGCTTAGACATTTGAATCATACTGCTTTATAGTCTGATCCCATATTGACAATTCGAGCTAGCAGCATGAAGGAGAAAAAATAACACAGGATGTACTTATCTATGTGCCTTAAGTTTTTTGGTGGGGAAGTGAGGGCCACATGTGGATGAGAGACAGAGCGTTATTAAGAAGAAGCTTACGAAAACAGATGGTTTGACTTTTCAAAAGTCATAAAGTTGTTGATAAAGCAACTTTATCGAGAAACACAAGCGTGATGTAGGCCTCAGAATTTTCCTTAAAGGAGATTTATGGGAATTGTGGGAATTATTTCCATGGAGTGCCTTGCTCTCTATGTTTTTTGAAGTGTGAATTATGCAAGTATTTCTGAAATTAATATGAAGATTTTAAATGATAACCTGGAAATTTAATAGCAATAACCTCAGTTTGCTTTTTTAAGATTTTTCTTCTGTATAAATGAAAGCCAGTGTGGAGTAACTCTTAAGTACTCTTCACTTCTTTATTATCTGTATAATTATTATGAAAAAGAGTCTATATTATTAATTTGTAGGAACACAAATTTTCTTTAAATCTAAAAACAATGTATTTCAAAAGAAATTATCATGACTATCATTTACTATAAAATAATTTTTAGTACACAAGATATATTAAGATGTAGTTTTGTTGTTTTTCCAAGCCTATTATTAAATAATTAATTGAAAGAATTTATTGCATTTTATTGAATGTACTATTTATTTATTTGTTTTTTAGCTTTAGGATCCTTTTCCACTGTATTTGGAGAAGAATGGAAAGAGAAGACTGATAGAGACTTCGTTAAGGTAAATCATTTTAATTAAAATGTTGATTCATTGAGTTACATGCAGCTAAGCCAACAATAGATCAGTGGTTGCTTATTTAATATACATAATACTACCTATACTTTTATCTTTACCTAATACATATGCCATACACAACGATTTTAAAGTTGTGATTGAGTTGAGTGAAAAATCTTTTAGAATACCCACGAACAGACATAAAATTTTCATTGATTTCTGTGAATAGTAACAACAATAGCAGTAAACAATTGAATGACCCTCTTCTCAACTGGGATTCTGAGAATGGGTTTCAGGAAGTTTTCGTTTTTATGTGTGTTCTGAAACTATGCAATTCAGAAAGGAATGAAGGGCCAGACCTGCCATCAAATCCTCAAAAAGAATAGGTGTAAAAGATTAGTAAGTGTCCATCTAGAGGAAAATTTCTGGGAATATATTTCTGAAACAAAATATAGTTGTGAATTTCAAGTGAGAAACTACAAAAAGACTTGAACAAATTGTTTTCTCACTTAACACTTGTCTAACTTTGCTGGCTTTCAAGGAAATATAGGATGCTTCTTTTATTTACTCTCCAAGGGTACATTTTATAGTATTACTATTAATAGAACATTATTGTTTAAACACCTTTTCTTTAAAACTCATGAGATACATTCAAGTATGATTACTCTTCATTCTTGCTGCAACTTCAGCTAAAATTTCTAAATCTATCCACTTTGTTTCTTAAAAGTAGCTCTCTTGGGCTGGGTGTGGTGTCTCACACCTGTAATCCCAGCACCTTAGGAGGCTGAGGTGGGAAAATCGCTTGAAGCTAGGAGTTCAAGACAAGCCTGAGCAACAAAGCAAGACCCCATCCCTACAAAAAAAAGTATATATTTTTTACTTCATTATACAAAAATATTAAAGAATTAGCTGGGCGTGGTTGTGTGCGCCTGTAGTCCCAGCTACTAGGGAGGTTGAGGTGGGAGGATTGCTTGCTTGAGCCTGGGAATTTGAGGCTGCAGTGAGCTATAATTGTGCCACTGCACTCTAGTCTGGGTGACAGAGCAAGACCTGTCTCTAAAATCAACCGATAAATCAATAAAAATAAATAAAAAATAAAATGATAGCATGGTGTTTTAGGGAACTACTTTATTTTTTATTTTCATTTATTTAATGGTGTTTGATTAATCACTTAAATATTAAAAATCAGTTGTAAAAATTTTGATATTGTCCAGACAAAATAGACTAAGTCACAGAACAAAAAGAGACAAAAAAGGTAATTATATAATGAAACAAGGGATCAATACAGCAAAAGGATGTATGTAACAATCATATATGCACTCAACACTGGAGGCCCCAGATGTATAAAGCAAATATTAGTAGAGCTAAAAAGAGACCCCAATACAATTATAGTTCGGGACTTTACTCACTTTCAGCATTGGACAGATCATCTAGATAGA
Source organism: Homo sapiens (assembly GCF_000001405.40). Classification (NCBI taxonomy): domain Eukaryota; kingdom Metazoa; phylum Chordata; class Mammalia; order Primates; family Hominidae; genus Homo; species Homo sapiens. The sequence continues at coordinate 45,822,921 of NC_000012.12, forward strand.
AAATCAGTAAAGAAACATCAGACTTAATCTGCACTATAGACCAAATGGACCTAATAGACATTTATAGACTATTTTATCCAACAACTGTAGAATATACATTCTTCTCATCAGCACATGGAACAGTCTCTGGGATAGACCATATCGTATGCCACAATACAATCTCAACAAATGTTTAAAAATTGAAATAGTATCAAGTGTCTTCTTATATCGCAATGGAATAAAAGTAGAAATCAATAATAAGAGGAACTTTGGAAACTGTACAGATGTTAATACAAGAAAATTAACGTGCTCCTGAATGACTATTGGGCATCAAGGAAGAAGTTAAGAAGGAAATTTAAAATGGAAACACAATATGCCAAAACCCATTGGATACAGCAGAAGCAGTCCTAAGAGGGAAGCTTATAGCAATATATGCCTACATCAAAAAAGTAGAAAGATTTCAAATAAACAACCTAATGATACACCTTAAGGAACTAGAAAAGCAAACCAAACCAAACCCAAAATTAGTAGAGGAAAGAAATTCTAAAGATCAGACCAGAACTAATTGAAATGGAGACGAAAAAGACAAAGGATCAACAAAACAAAAAGTTGTTTTTTGATAAGATAAACAAAATTGAGAAACCACTAGCTAGAATAGCTAAGAAAAAAGAGAGAAGACTCAAATAAAGTCAGAAACATAAAAGGAGACATTACAGCTGATACTACAGAAATATAAAGGATCATTAGAGACTATGCTGAAATATTATGCTAATGAATTGGAAAACCTAGAAAAAATGGATAAATACTTGGACACATACAACCCATCAAGATTGAACCAGGAAGTAATGGCCTCACCAGACCAATAAAGAGTAACAAGATTGAATCAGTAATAAAAAGTTTCTCAATGAAGAAAAGCCCAGGACCGGATGGCTTATGGCTGAATTCTTCCAAACTTATAAAGAAGAACCAACACCAGTTCTTCTCTAACTATTCCAAAAATCTGAAGGGGAGAGAACTCTCCTTAACTCATTCTTTGAGGCCAATACTACTCTGATACCAAAACCAGGCAAGTACACAACAGAAAAAGAAAACTGGAGGTCAGTATCTGTGACGAACATAGATGCAAAAGTCCTCAACAAAATGCTAGCAAACCAAATCCAACAACATATCAAAAAGACAGTGCACCATCATTAAGCTGGATTTATCCCAGGGATGTAAGGATGCAAATCAATAAATGTGATACATCACATCAACAGAATGAAGGACAAAAATATGATCATCTCAGTTGTAGATTTGTCATACGTGGCTTTTATTGTTTTGAGGTATGTTTCTTCTATGCCTAATTTCTTGAAAATTTTTATCAAGAAGAAATGTTAAATTTTATCAAATGCTTTTTTTGCATCTTTTGAGATAATCATCATACCAAATAGGGGAAAAACTGAAAGCTTTTCCTTGAAAAACTGAAATAAGATGAGGACACTCACTTGCACCACTCTCATTCAACATTGTATTGGAAGTCCTAGCCAAAGGAATCAAGCAAGAGAAAGGAATAAAACTTCAGTAAAGTTGCAGGATACATTTCTTAAAAAAAAGACTTACAAATGGCCAAAATATATATGAAAAATTGCTCAACATCACTAATCATCAGGAAAATGTAAATGAGAACCACAATGAGATATCATCTCACCCCAGTTAGAATGGCTGTTGTCAGAAAGGCAGCAAAATAACAAATGCTGGTAATAATGTGGATAAAAGGGAACTCATACACTGTTGATGGGAAAGTAAGTAATATAGCCATTATGGAAAACGGTATCCCACTACTGGGTATTTATCCAAAGGAGAGGAAATAGTATATCAAAGGAATACCTGTGCCGTCAATGTGCATTGCAGCATTATTCACAATAGCCAAGATATGAAATTGACTGAAGTATCCAGTAACAGGTGAATGAATAAAGTTATATATATACATATATATATATATATGTATATATAAAATGAAATACTATTCAGCCCTAAAAGGAATGAAAATGTGCTATTTTTGTAGCAATGTGGTTGGAACTGGAGGTCATTATGTTCAATGAAAACCTAGGCACAGAGTGAGAAATATTTCATGTTCTCACTCGTATGTGGGAGCCAAACTTGTTGATATTTTGGAGGTAGAGTAGATTGGTGGTTACCAGAGGCTAGGAAGGGTCAGAGGGTGATGTACAAAGAGAGGTTGGTTAATGAGTACAAATACCTAGTTAGAAAGAATAAATAATAAATTCTAGTGTTTTATAGGACAGTAGCATGACTATAGTTATCAATAGTTTATATTTCAAAATAGTAAGAAGAGAAGATTTGAAATGCTCCCAACACAAAGAAATGATAAATATATGAGGTGATGCATATCCCAAATACCATTATTTGATTATTACACATTGTATGCATGTATTAAAATATCACAGGTACCCCATAAGTACATACAGTTGTTATATGTCCATAAAATTTGTTATTGAGCTATCTTGCAAATTTGTATTAAAAGGGAGTCATTTTAGGAAATGGTAACTGTTAAGTAGATTTTTCTAGTGGCATTTTAGCTTTTCTTTATTGCTAGTCTTTAGGTTTAACTAACAAAAACTGCTAATGATAAGCTTCAACTAATCAAAAACTTTATTCTTTAGCAGTCTATTTTAAGTATTATAAATTGTCTTTAATGCATCAAGACTTACTTGACAATTTTAGAGGACAAGTTAGGAGGATTGGTTGAGCCCAAGAGTTCAAGACTAGCCTGGGCAATATAATGAGACCTCGTCTCTACAAAGAAAAAAAATAATTAGTTGGGCATCGTGGTGCATGATTGTAGTTCCAGCTACTTGGGAGGCTGAGGCAGAAGGATTGCTTGAGCTCTGGAGTTAGACACTGTAGTGAGCTATGATTGTACCACTGCACTCCACCATGAGTAACAGAGTGAGACCCTGTCTTTAAGGGGAAAAAAAAAAGACTTTCTGGAAACTTTCATGTAGATCAGTATGATTTATTGAATTTTTTGTAGATTTTAGATGTTTAAATAGTTAGAAAATCCTTACAGGCTTGGTTTCTAACGTATATTCCCACTAGGGCATTTTTCTTTTATAATGGAACTTTTTCTTTACCTAAGAAGAGATAAAATTAAAGAGTTATAGTTAGGCATTTAGCATCAATGGCTTATATAAAAATAATTTTATATTAAGTATTAGTTGTCATGTAGATTTGTTTTTCTATCATAAACATATTTTTACTTGAATTAAAAGTTAATATAGACTATATATTAAACACTTTACGTAGTTCTCTTTATCATTTTTCTGTTTACACAGTTTTTTTACAAAACAGTTCCACTGTAAAGTATTTCAACAAATAGGAACCTATAATGTCTCTTCAGAGATGTATACATGAATTTTATTTTAACGAGCTGGTAATATTTGAATTAATAGTTAAATAGTGGGAAAAGAGAGAGAGAGAGAAATGTTTTCCTGGTTTTACAGAGGTTAGTCTTTATTTTTTATTTATTTATTTTTCTTTGAGACAGTCTTACTCTTATCACCCAGGCTAGAGTCCAGTGGTGCCATTGTAGTTCATTGCAATGTCCTCGGCCCAAGGGATCCTCCTGCCTCAGGCTCCCAAGTAGCTAAGATTACAGACTCCTGCCACCATGCTTGGCTAACTTATTTTTTATTTTTTTGTAGAGATAGAGTCTTGATATGTTCCTCAAGGTAGTCTCAAACTCCTGTTCTCAAGCAGTCCTCCTGCCTCGGCCTCCCAGAGTGCTGGGATTATAAGCATGAACCACCCTGTCTGCTCCCTTATAGAAGTAATTGATGCATGCTGTGGAAAAGCTAGAATTTACAGCAAAGGGCAGATATTAAAACCATTATTAATCACACCCATTCAGAAATAAACACCATTAATATCCTTATATACATCTATCGAGTCTTTTCTATGCATATTATTTAAAGCAAAAGTTTTATTCAGAATTTAATTTGTAACCTGTTCTTTTCACTTATTACAATGTTAGATTTTCTTCTCATCCTTAATGTTTAGTATTTTAATGGCTACTTCATTCATATTACACATTTCATAATTCATGTAAATAATCCATATTTTCAGAAATTTAGATTGTTTCCATTTCTTCTTATTATCAACCTACCTGGGATGTACGTACTCACATCCAGGCCCACAAGTATAAAAAACGTTTTTTCTTAAGTTAACTCCAAGACAAATTTGCAAGTCAAAGAGTATACTAGATCCTTCACAAGAAGTATACCATCTTAACTGAATTTTGTGGTAAAGTTACACTTTTCATATTGTTATCCAGAATTAAGTTTGTAGCCCAAAATAGCTAGGCCTATTGCTACATAAAATATTGTATAATTAGTTAAAATGTTTATGACATTTATCTGATAATATCTGATAAGAATTATCGGATTAATAGCTTTAAGTCACCTTATTTCAGAGAAAAAAATACTTGAACTAATTTATTTGGTAAAATATTTTGTACATTAATTCATTTATTTAAAAAATATTTACTATTTTCTGTGTGCCAATACTTTTCCAGACACTGGGAAAACAAGGTCTCCCCTCTCAGCAAATTTCCATTCTATGATAGGAAAACAGACAATAAAAGTAAACAATGTTATTTGAGGCTTTTGCAAGTATTGTGAAGAAAATAAAGCAAGACAATGTGATAGAGAGTTATAAGACATGTGAGTGTATGGTAACGTTAGATAATATGACCAGAAAGGCTTCCCTCAGGAGGTAATATCTGATGATTTTTAGTAGGTTTGAATGATAATAGGTGACCAGCACTGCAGAGGAAGAGTCTTTCTGACAGAGGGAATAGCAAATGCAAATGTTCTGAGGTAAGAACAAATTTAGTTTGAGGTATAGAAAGTATGCTTATGTGCAGGACCATGGTAAACAAAAGGAAAAGTAGTAGCAGACAAATGTGCCTGTTTCAGCTGTGAATATGCAGTTAACAGAAAATTTTAATTAATGACAAAAGATATGTTAATCGTATTATTATATGTATTAAAACTAAGCTTCAGGATGCATTGACTTTGTAATTTAATATATTATCTTTTTTGGACTCCTATAAGTACTTTTTAAATTATAACACATACTTAGTGTATATGTATAACACATACATAAGTATACACCTCAAGATGTGTTTATAAAGTGAATACACTCATGTAATCGTTACCCAGATGAAGAATTAGAACATTATCAACACCTCTGAAGTACGCCTATTCATTCCCCCTTTCAGTCACTTCTTCATTCACTCCCTTATCTGTTAACCTTTCTTCCTTATTCTACTTCTCTTTTTTTCTTTTGTTCAACATCATGTTTGTGAAAGTTTCATGCATATCGTTGCAAGTATTTGTATTTCATTCATTTCTATTGTTGTATAATGTTACATTGCATGAATATGCAGCAATTTGTTCTACTGTAAAAAGCAATAAGGATTTAGTTATTTCCAGGTTGGACACAAATAATTTTGCTATGAAGGGTTTTATATATGCATTTTGGTAAATATATGCATGCATTTTTGTTGGGTAATTGACCTAGGAGTGTTAATTGCTAGGTCATAGGGTATGCATATCTGTATTCAGCTTTGGTAGATACTACCAAACATGTTTCAAAGCAGTTGTACAGTTTTACCTTCTCAGCAGTAGTATGTCGGTTCCAGTTCCTCGTTGTTGACAGTATTTGGTATTGTCAGTCTCTTTCATTTTAACTATTACAGTGAGTGTGCATTGTTACTGTAGCTTGGTTTTAATTTACATTTTTTCTTGTTTGATGAGAACTAGAATACCTTTGGCAATTTTGATAGCTTCTTTTAGGCAGTGCCTATATTTTGTCCATTTTTAAATAATTATCTTTTTGATTTGTAAGAGTTTTTTTTCTATATTTTGGATAAAATTTCTTTTTAAGATGTTGGAAATATTTTCTCTCTAGCTTGCCTTTTCATTCTTGAATGGTGTCTTTTGATGAACTTACATAACTTAATTTTAATGTAGTTTAACATCAATTTTTCTGGAAGTTGGCCATTTTTTAGTTCTAGTTACAAAATTTTGCCAACCATGAGGTCAAAAACAGAATGTGTTTTTTTCTGTTTTACTTTTCACACTTAGATCTATAATTTTTATTGTGTTTTTGTGTATGTGGTATAAGCCAGGAGTAAAGATTTGGTTTTTTTCCCTCATATGGATACCCACTTGAACCTACAATATTTGTTTTAAAAACTGTGTTGCAGTATCACCATTGTCATAAATCCACCAATCATATATGTATAGATCTTTTTCTAGATTCTTTTTCATTGGTTTATTTGCCCCGTTAGGGCTTGAAAGTACCAGATTTTTAGTCAAGAAACTGAAATTCTTCCTACTACATTTCAGTAAAAATTTGTGTTTTCTAATTAGAGAAAATATTTATTTTCCTATTTTTATGTGTAGCTCATTGCTAAAAATGTTATTTTTGTTTTTATACCTCTATGCAATTTAAAACCCCAGAAAGCAGATCTTTTAATCTTATTTTTCTGTCCTCATTCTTTCTTGTGTATTTCATCTCCCTTCTGAGTATGTGTTTTTTTCACAGTATAACACATCTTTAACTAGATCTTTCAATGAAGATATTTTATTGATAAAATTCTGAGTTTTATAATTGTCCTTATTTTTGTCCATGTTCCATTTATAGATTGTAGATTATAAGTTATATTTTTATTGTATTATTGTCATTCTGTTGTTTTTTGCGTTTTCTTCTAGGTTATCTTGTCTTTATTTTTGTCCATGTTCCATTTATAGATTGTAGATTATAAGTTATATTTTTCTTGTATTATTGTCATTCTATTGTTTTCTGCCTTTTCTTCTAGGTTATCTTTCTTCTTCTTTTTTTTTTTTTTTTAATCAATTTCTGACCTTCTCTTAATTCTGAGCAGCATTCTGGGTAATTTCCTTAGGCTTGTTCCTTAATCATTTTCAGCTGTGCCTAATATGCTGCTTGACTTATTTGTTAAATTTCTATTTTAGTGATCATGTTTTAATTTCTAGAAATTCTCTCCATCCTATTTTAGATTTGCCCTTTTGATCTTCTTTTTTATGTTTTTAATAATTTTGAAGATTTTTAAAAATCTTTTAATAAATTAATTTGAATTATATAAATATATAGAAACAAAATATATAAATATATAATATGTAAATTAAAAATTAAATACACTTGATTGTTCTAATATCTAAAGCTGTTGTGACTAATTTTACTTATTCCATGGTGGAATATTCCCTTCTGTTTTATAATATTGGTTACAAATTTCAGCAGACCAGTTTTTGTAGGGTTTTTGTACAGATTGGATTGAAAGTTCATTCTTCCACTACTCTATTGCAATTGCCAATCATCTACAGAGAAATACTGGTTCAGAATGACTGTATTAATTTCTTCATTGATTTTCGGGTAACTCGAGTAGTTACTAAAACCAAATCAATGGAGATTGGGGAGTAGGCCAGTGGTACAAAATTTGGGGCATTATTTTTAACCCAAAACTACGGTAGAGACAGTCAAGCCCTTTTGCCTCCTTTTCTTTGAAGGTATTAGATCTTCAAAGTTTTCACCATGATACAGAGCTGCATTCCTAATTCCCCACTTCATAAACTGACCCAGGGTCCTATATTCTGTCCTCACTACACTGCATCAAGAGCGAAACCATTTGGTTATAGAATTATATACTTTTTTTTTTAACTCCAGAAAATTAGTGATGAAAGTGTAAATTGCACAAAGTGTTTAAATAAATACCCAGTCACAATGGGGAGTGGCAGTTATCAGTATAATCACTAATCACATGAAATCAAGAAAACACAAATGGCTGGGCACGGTGGCTCACGCCTATAATCCCAACACTTTGACTTTGGGAAGCTCAGGTGGGCAGATCATTTGAGGTCAGGAGTTTGAGACCAGCCTGGCCAACATGGCAAAAGCCCATCTCTACTAAAAATACAAAAAAATTAGCTGGGCATTTTGGCGGGCACCTGCAATCCCAGCTACTCAGGAGGCTGAGGCAGGAGAATCACTTGAGCCCAGGAGGCAGAGGTTGCAGTGAGCCGAGATCATGCCACTAGTGACAGAACGAGACTCTGTCAAAAAAAAAAAAAAAGGCATTAGAAGAAAACACAAATATAATTGAGGAAGATTAGATGTTTCCTGCTGTTGTATGTGTTTTCATTAATTTCTGCTTTTCATATATCTTTCTATTGCTGCACTTTTTCTAACTTGTTAGGAATTAGAGCTGGTGCTTACACGATTGATTGTTGTTTTTATTTTTTTAATATGTACATTCTAATACATACAATTAAGACCACAAAATTACCTCTAAGCACAGCTTAACTTTATTCTACCAATTTGATATGTCATGCGTTCATTACAACTGAGTATCTTCTCATTTCCACTGTGATTTCCTCTACGTGGGTTATTTATTTAAGTTTTTAATTGTTATGGATATGTAGTAGGTTCATATATTTAGGGATACAGGAGATATTTTGAAATAGGTATACAGTGTTTAATGATCACATCAGGGTAAATGGGGTATTCTTCACCTCAAACATCATTTCTTTGTGCTATAAACATTCCACTTATACATTTTTAGTTATTTTTAAACATACTATAAATTATTGTAGTCACTCTGTTTTGCTATCAGATACTAAATCTTATTCATTCTGTCCAGCTATATTTTTGTACCTATTAACCATTCCTACTTTGCCCCAGCCTCTGGTAACCATCATTCTACTCTCCATCTCCATGAGTTCAGTTCAGTTGTTCTACAATTTCCTGAGATGTGAATGTTGAAATCATCAACTGTAATTATGAATGTTTATATATCCTTTCAGTTCTGTCAGTTTTTACCTTACGTCTTTTGAACCTCTGTTGTTAGTTGCATACACATTTACAGTTGATATATTTTCATGATGAATTAACTTTTAAAAAACATTATGTATGAAACTTAGCTACAGCTTTCTTATTATGTTGTCATAATATATTTTTCCCATCTTTATAGTTTTTTTCTGTGTTTTTATACATAGCGTTTCTTTAGATACCATATAGTTAGCACTTATTTTCCTCCTCCCCACAGTCTGCCTTTTCTGTGATTTCTGCCTTTAAGTCAGTGCATTAAGCCCATTTACACTTTAGGAAATTAATGATGTAGTTGAGTTTAGGCTCTCAACTTTTATTTATCTAAAAATTTTATTTTGCCTTCATGTTTCAAGGATATTTTTGATGCATATAAAACTGTAGGTTTTAGGGTTTTGTCTGAGCACTTTAAAGATAGCATTCTTATTGACAAGAAGTCAACTTTTTTCTTATTGCTCTTGTATATGTATTGTAGACTCTCACTACTTTTAATATGTTCTCTTTATTACTGATATTTAATTTGGTTATGATATGCCTTGCAGTTTCATTGCTTATTTTACTTGGGGTTCATTTAGTTTCTTGGATCTGTGGTTTGGTATCTTACGTAAAATTTGGAGAGTTTTTCACAATCACTTCTTCCAATATTTTTCTTTCCCCTCTTGTTTTTTTTGTTTTGTTTGTTTTAGAGACAGGGTCTTGCTTCGCTACCCAGGCTGGAGTGCAGTGGTACAATTATAGCTCACTGCAACCTTGAACACGTGAGTTCAAGCAATCCTCCTGCCTCAGCCTCCCAAGTAGCTGGGACTATAGGCATCCACCACCACACCCAGACCCCTCTTCTTTTCCTGGTACTACATTTACAGTCTGGTCTCTGAATCCATGGGTTCTGCATCCATAGATTTAACCAATCACAGATTGAAAATATTTGGGGAAAAAAGCAATTTAAAAAACAGTAAAAAGTAATAAAACTAAAAAATTAAAAGAAGACAGTGCAACAACTATTTACTTCACGTTACACTGTATTAGGTATACTGTATTTAAAGTACACAGGAGGATGTTTGTAGGTTATATGCAAATACTATACTGCTATACCATTTTATATGAGGAACTTGAGCATGTGGAAAATTTGATATCTTTGGAGAGTCCTAGAACCAGTCCCCACAGATACTGAGGGATGACTGAATATGTATATTAGATCATGGGGGTGTTCCACAGGTCACTGAAGCTCTTTTCAGTATTTTTAGACCTTTTTTGTTTTCTGTGTACTTAATTGTGGATATTTTCTATTGTTATGCATTCATCTTTTCTAGTTAAGCAAATCTTGTATATTTTCTTTATTTGCAGATACAGATGGTCCCCAAGTTATGATAAACTTAGTTTTTTTGACTTTACTATGGTTTTATTGGGGGTATTAAATGCATTACGATGTTTTAGACTTACTATGGGTTTATTGGGACATAACCCCATCATAAGTCAAGGAACATCTGTATTACATTTTCCAGCTCAAGAAATTTTATTTGATTGTCCTATATTATCCATTTATTTGCTAATTATGTTCATATTTTTATATCACTGAACATACTTAATAGTTTTTTAATGTCATTGTTAATTTTCTTGTTATCTTTGTTATTTCACTATCTTATTTTTCTTGAAACTGATTTTTGTCTTGGTTATGGGTCCTCATTTCTTTGTAGGTGTGGTAATTTTTTATTAGATGTGAGTGTTGTGTGAGTGTGACATTGTTGAGTGTCTGAACTTTGGCATTTTTCCAGAATGTTGAACTTTGTTTTAGCAGGCTGTTAGTTCATATATGGATTATCAGAGTAGGGTTGTTTTAAAGCTTTATGACATATGTAGATTAGCCTTTACTCTAGGGCTTGTTTATTCCTTCTACTTAGGTATGACATTTTGGGAATTTCTCCTGAAAGAGCTAGGTGTATATGAGTTTTCTCTATTCTAGGAATTGTTTAATTACAGCCTCTTATAATTGTTCTCTCCAGTTTTTTGACTAGCATTGTGGAGTTTGAGCATACATCTGTGTAACTTAATACTTAGCAATGAACTCAAAGTATATGTATGTAGATTCATGGAGCTCTTTCTCTGCATAACTCTTCCCTTATTGAAAATTTGCTCTCATATTCTAGCCTCCTTAGCTTTGCTGTGCTCTGTTCAGTGTTTTCAGCTTAGCAATCACTATGATATCTTGGGTTTCTCTTCCTTATGCTTTAGTCTAGAATTAATGTCCAAATAAAAATACCAGTCAATCATTGGAATAACCTCATTTGTTTCTCTTGTTCAGTGATTACAGTCTTGCATTACCTTTTTTCCAATCTCTGAAAACAGTTTTTTCATACATGTTGGGTTTTGGTAGGATGACTACTCCAGTACCATACTCCATATGGCCTAAATAAATAGTCACTTGAAAGTATTTTTCTAAATTTTAAATTTACCTTTTTTTTTTTTCTACCCCATGACTTTTTGAAAGTGTTTTAATTTGGCTTAACCACAGTTACCTTTATCATTTATTCTTCCTTAGATTGTAGATAATGAGCTTTTCTGTTTTTTATTTGTCAGAAAATGTTTTTATGTCACTTTCATTCTTGAGGAACAGTTTCACTATTTAAAAAATTCTATGTTGGCAGGCTGGGTACAGTGGCTCACGCCTGTAATCCCATGTAATCCCAGCACTTTGGGAGGCCGAGATGGGCGGATCACCTGAGGTTAGGACTTCACGACCAGCCTGACCAACATGGTGAAACCCCATCTCTCCTAAAAGTACAAAAATTAGTTGGGCATGGTGGCACGCACCTATAATCCCAGCTACTTGGGAGGTTGAGGCAGAATCGCTTGAACCTGGGAGGCAAAGGTTGCAGTGAGCTGAGATCACGCCATTGCACTCTAGCCTGGGTGATAGAGCGAGATTCCGTCTCAATGAAAAGAAATACGTTGGCAGATATTTTCTTCCATCATTTTGAAAATATCCCATTGTGATTTTTCTCTTTGTTCTTCAGGAGTTTTATGATGACGTTTCCACAGCTTTTTTCTTTTTTTATCTTTCTTGGAGTTTGTAGTGCTTCTGAAATATATAGGTTAACATTTTTCAGTTATTTTAGAATAATTTTCTGCCCTTACATTGTCACATATTCTGTCTGCCCATTCTTTCTCTTCTTCAGGAACTCCAATTATTTGTATGTTAGAACTTTTCACTGTGTGCCTTATGTCTCATACACTTTTTTTCTCTTCATCCTTTTGTCTCTTTATACTTCAAACTTATTTACTTGCCCTCTCTTCTTGCTCATAAATTCACTCTTGGGTTGTATCTAATCAGTTCTTAAACATATCCACTGAATTCTTAATTTTAGTTATGTTTTTCAGTTGTAGAATTTCTTTTTAGTTCTTTCATATAGTTTTAATTCCTTTGCCAAAATTTTTAGTTTTTTATTTCTTTGAACTTACTATTCATTGTCATTTTAAGTTTTGTGTCTGATATCTTTAATATCTGAATTCTTGTGGCCCTTCTTTCTTGGTTATTGAACATTGTCTTTTAAAAAAATGTGCCTACTTCTTTTTTATTGCTACCAAACATTGTTTGTCATAGATTTTTTGTGCAATGGATTTCTTTGATGATCACATGAAGCCAGTAAGCCTTTTTCCAACTAATGGTTTTAAATGCCTAAGAACTTTGATTCCAAAAAAAAAACCCAGTTGTTTTGAAATATACACATAATGTCACAGATACTGCTAATATTACTATAGTTCATTGCTTAATATTCAGAGTTGAAGAAATTCTAAAGAAATGTCAGATTTCCAGGCCGGGCGCTGTGGCTCATGCCTGTAATCCCAGCACTTTGGGAGGCAGAGGCAGGCGGATCACAAGGTCAAGAGATTGAGACCATCCTGGCCAACATGGTGAAACCCCATCTCTACTAAAAATACAAAAATTAGTTGGGCGTGGTGGCGCGTGCCTATAATTCCAGCTACTCGGGAGGCTGAGGTAGGGGAATCACTTGAACCCGGGAGGTGGAGGTTGCAGTGAGCCGAGATGGTGCCATTGCACTCCAGCCTGGGTGAAAAGAGCGAAACTCCATCTCAAAAAAAAAAACAAAAACAAAAAAGAAATGTCAAATTTCCAGTAGTGTTTAATGTACATAGAGATGTCATTTTTCCCCCATCCAAGTTCACAGATTTCTGATTTCTTTCACAGTCCCTTTAGTCGTCTGTGGCCCTCAGGTTAAAAAGCCCTAAACATAAAAAGATGCCTTTTTATATAAGTATCTGAAACTATAGACAATCAAATATTTACATCAAAGAATTAATTCCCTAGAATGTAGCAATATCCACATGAACTAAAAATAAGTAGAAACATTATTTTCATATTGTGTGACTATTTTTTAAAACTTATTTTTAAATTTAATTTTGAGATGGGGTCTCACTCTTCCGCCCAGGCTGGAGTGCAGTGGCACAATCACAGCTCCCTGCAGCCTTCAATTCCAGGCCTCAAGTGATCCTCCTGCCTCAGCCTCCCAAGTAGCTGGGACTTCAGGCACATGCCACCACTCCTGGCTAATGTTTTAAATTTTCTAGTTTGTAGAGATGGGGTGTCTCTTTGCTGCCCAGGCAGGTCTCAAACTCCCAGCTGCAAGTAATCCTCCCATCTTGGCCTCTTAAAGTGCTGGGATTACAGGCATGAGCCACCATACCTAGCCTGTGTGTGACTATTTCTAAAGCAATAGAATAGTTGTTTCAAATCATGGAGAATTAAATAATTTATCATTACAGTTTTGGAAAGACATCGTTGATGATAATGAAGTTCGTGACCTCATTTCTGACAGAAACAAGTCTCATGGTAAGTTAGTGAAAGCAAAATTTTTCAAAACCTTTGAAGTATTAATAAATGAAATATTAAGTGAAATATGTATTTTCTATTGTAGAAGGTACATCAGGAGAATGGATTTGGGAGTCTTTATTTCATCCACCTCGAAAGCTGGGCATTAACGATATTGAAGGACAGCGGGTACTTCAGATTGCAGTGATTTTGAGAAATCTTTCCTTTGAGGAGGGCAATGTTAAGCTCTTGGCAGCTAATCGTACCTGTCTTCGTTTCCTATTACTTTCTGCACATAGTCATTTTATTTCTTTAAGGCAATTAGGCCTTGACACATTAGGAAATATTGCAGCTGAGGTAAGCATGTGACTGTACCTTAAACTAGTTTTTATAGTTAGCAACATTTATGTTACAATTTTAGGATGTGGCATTTTATAGTTGCCATATTTATAGACTATTAAATGCTTACATGTATTAGTTGCTAAAAATGGTGATGTAGAAGTATCACATACTTTTATGGAAAAAAGTATTTGAAATGATGCTTTAAATTCAGAAATGGCTATTTTTACAATAACATTTTTTAACGTTATGCAACATTGTCCTGTTTATTTTTTATTTTTATTAAATTTGAAGTATACAACTCTGGAAGAAGCATAGCTCAATAATAGTGTTGTTTCTTTTTCCAGCTTTTACTGGACCCTGTTGATTTCAAAACTACTCATCTGATGTTTCATACTGTTACAAAATGTCTAATGTCAAGGGATAGATTTTTAAAGATGAGAGGTGAGTTTTCACTGAAGTATTTACTTTCTAAAGTAAACAAACTATCATTTCTTAGTAATACATATTTGTATGTTTTTCAGGCATGGAAATTTTGGGAAATCTTTGCAAAGCAGAAGATAATGGTGTTTTAATTTGTGAATATGTGGATCAGGATTCCTACAGAGAGATCATTTGTCATCTCACTTTACCTGATGTGCTGCTTGTAATCTCAACACTCGAGGTGCTATACATGCTCACGGAAATGGGAGATGTTGCTTGCACAAAAATTGCAAAAGTAGAAAAGAGCATAGGTAAGACTGGACCAAAAAACACTTATTTTCTTTATTGAGTAAAAGTGTTTAATATGGTACTGTACAAAACCCTCAATTTATATTTGAGGTTTAGTGTTTTATTTTGAAGAGTCATTACCTCCTCAGGCATACTTGTTTCCATTATTCTTTATTATGCTTTAAATTCAGTGATGGCTATTTTTACAATAATTACATTCTTTAACGTTATGCAACATTGTCTTGTTTATTTTTTATTTTTATTAAATTTGAAATATACAACTCTGGAAGAAGCGTAGCTCAATGAGCAAGAAGCATCTATAATTTAGAAACCAGGATTACATGGCTATCAGTAATTCCTATTTCTTCTCTTAATTTCTGTTGTTACGTATTAAATTTGAAATGGACAAAACTGCTATATCTAACTTATCTGAGAGCAGGTCTTTCTGTTTCATATGGCCAGCTACTACTGTTAAACAATTAAAGCTAAGTGAAATATGTTTCCTTCTGTTCCTAGAAGTTGCTGGTAGTGCTGCAATCTTTAAAAATCATTGAAGTCACCTCCATAAGAGCTATCAGTTTTAAATATACTTACTAACACATGCCATGTTAACGTTTTACTTGGTGATTAAAATGATATCTTTCTTAGGTATAATAAATATTAAAATCAGAGTTAATAAAGATTCAGCTTGAAAACTGTTCTTATTGAGAAGTTAATGTGTCACTTTTCATATCAGTGATTCTTAAATCTGGCTACACATCAGAATCACTTGAGAATCTTTTCAAGTATATAGATATCCACTGCTGGGCATGGTGGCTCACACCTGTAATCCCAGCACTTTGGGAGGCCAAGGCAGGAAAATCACCTGAGCACAGTTCAAGATTACCCTGGGCAACATAGTGAGATCTCATCTGTACGAAAAATAAATAAAATTAACCAGATGTAGTGGTGCATGCCTGTAGTTCCCAGCTGCTTGGGAGGCTGATGTGGGAGGATCACTTGAGCCTGGGAGGTTGAGGCTGCA
The DNA here is from genome assembly GCF_000001405.40 of Homo sapiens. Lineage (NCBI taxonomy): Eukaryota > Metazoa > Chordata > Mammalia > Primates > Hominidae > Homo > Homo sapiens. The sequence continues at coordinate 45,838,709 of NC_000012.12, forward strand.
GTGAGCTGTGATCGTGCCAGCACTCCAGCCTGGGTGACAGAACAAGATCCTTTCTCAAAAAAAAATATATAGATAGATAGATAGATATAGATATAGATATCCAGCTCCCACTCCAGAGCTATTAAATCAGTCTTCAGAGATTGAGCCTAAAAATGTTTTGTTTTTTTTTTTTTTTGAGACAGAATCTCACTCTGTCGCCCAGGCTGGAGTGCAGTGGCCTGATCTTGGCTCACTGCAAGCTCCGCCTCCTGGGTTCATGCCATTCTCCTGCCTCAGCCTTCCGAGTAGCTGGGACTACAGGCACCATGCCCGGCTAATTTTTTTTTTTTGTATTTTTAGTAGAGATGGGGCTTCACCATGTTAGCCAGGATGATCTCAATCTCCTGATCTCATGATCCGCCCGCCTCCGCCTCCCAAAGTGCTGGGATTACAGGTGTGAGCCGCCACGCCCAGCCTAAAAATCTTTTTTTTTAAAGATGCACAGGTAATTCTGATGTACTGTGATTCATGGACTAGCATTTATTCACATTGATAAGTATTCTGTACAACATGTGTTCACCAGTGATGGCATTCATTTATAATATTATTGACTAATAACTATTGCTTTTTATTTATTTTAGACATGTTAGTGTGTCTGGTTTCTATGGATATTCAGATGTTTGGCCCTGATGCACTAGCTGCGGTAAAACTCATTGAACACCCAAGTTCCAGTCATCAAATGTTATCTGAAATTAGGCCACAAGCTATAGAGCAAGTCCAAACCCAGACTCATGTAGCATCTGCCCCAGGTTAGTGTTTTCACATATTCTTTTTCAGTGTGGTTACGAGTGTATAAGATTTGATCCTAAGAATAAATTTCAATGTGCAGTATAGAGAACTGATATTTTACAGTATAGTAGGCCAAAGTGGAATTTGGATATGTACTCTAATTTCTTAGATATTATACATTCCAGGAGTAGCAGGATCAAGGTGAGCTCATAGGAAGAATAGTATAATAGGAAAATTAAGTTCGGCAGGATTTAGAGTAATGTGATGAATTAGATATTCATAATTACGATAGCTATAAGTGCCCCAATAGGCATATTATTTGTGATTTTGGTCATGGGAAATTGACATGCCAGGAATAGATTATTCATATATTACCTTATGATTTTCTCAGGTGATCATCAGGACGCGTAAGTATAATACTTCTAATGTCCTTAAGTGTTGGAACCAACACCACAGAATCAACAGCCTAGGAGAAGACACATGCACATATGTATACACACACTTACAAGCATGTATACCTGCATTTATGCACCTTTCCTAGTGTCTCTTAGCTCAATTCTGTTTAGCTCAACTGTAATTATAGTACAGACATGTCTAATAACCAGACTTCAGTCCTTGAACTCCTTCCACTGGCTCATTATGAGTCATCATTTTTTATATTTTACCACCCTTAACCTTTTTTTGGAGTGCTTTCTCTACCTTGGTTTATACTAAAAATACATATTTCATCTCACCTACCCTTCCATTTCCTATCCTCTCACCTCCTGCTGTCCCCAAGACACTTAATCTTTCTTTATATTTTTTGAATGGAGGATGCTCGTGTTCTCAATTGATCTTAATTCTCACTTTGCAATTAATACAGAGGCTGTGTAGAATGAATTTCTTCAATTTTTTACTCCTTCAGTTACAAACTTATTAGCATCTGGACTCATTTTCCTTTAGCTTCTGCTCATTTCAGAAAGAGATGCTAATTTCTTCTGAAACTTACTCTGAATATCAGTCTTTCCCATCTCCATGTTCCCATATCTTAAATCTCTTTTTATTTACTCACTTTTTCCTTTCAGCTAGAAATGCGTTTAGGTCTCTTATCCTCCCTCGCTAGCCCCAAACCAAAAATTTCATTATCCTTAATCTTTAGCCATCACATCCATTCATCAGATCTTGTTGAGTCTTCCTAAATACCTGGCCTTTTCAATTGCCAATGCTTATGAATGAGATTGAACTCTCATCATCTCTAGCTATCTGTTCTCACGTTCATTCATGGTCCCAATTTGTCTTCTACTCCAACTTGTAGTATGAAAATTATGTACTCTATGCAAAGTATGTAATAAGTATCACATATTTCATTGATTTCCATTATGTCCTTCTGAAGTGTATAGATTTGTGTCATATGTTCACTCAACTAACTTGGATCCACCTAACAAAAGTGGACAAATAACAGAAGGCACAAAATAGATAATTTTGACTGCCAGTCTATTCAATGAGCTTTCAACTACAGGTAATAGATGTTAAACAGCCGATTTATATTGGGGAATCTTTGGTCAGAATATTAATGGTTTCTCAACCTTGAGAAAGAAATGAAACTGTTCATATTGCTAGTTAAGTGGGAGGTGGGAATGTTTTTTACCATCAAAGAAGAAACTAAAGATTAAATTAATTGAGGGACATAAAGGAGCAGTGTTAGAGAAATTGATAAAATGTCAGTGAATACTCAAGGGTGATTTGATGAAGACTATTTTTTGCTGCATGGTTAGCCTTTGACCTTCACAGTTCTTTTGACCTCAGCAAATGAACCTACTTCTCAATCTAAAATTTGGTCCTCATTTGGCAAATGAATGAATTTAAACATTGAGAATTTGTGGCTTATTCATTTATGTAGTAATTAATTCATTCATAGAGATGGGACTAGACTGCTCAGGATTGAAAAGAGTTAATTTTCAGCTGGAGAGCACTTTATTACTTGTGCTCTCCCTGAATGACAACTTTAAATTGTTTGATTGGTTATCCTTTGTGGTTTAGCTATTGCCTGCATAGTTTAATGCTGCTTTTTTTGGAATTACCATCTTTAAACTTTTTGCTCACTTCCCTCAATCCCTCTGAAAACTTTTATAACCTTTTACCCATTTTTAGGTTAACATCTAAATCTCTATCATAATTTAAATAGTTGCAAAGTATGTATTGTCTTGATGTATATTAAACTACATTTTTAAAAGAAAATAATTACAGTGCTTTTTGTATGCAGTGGAATCTTGATACCATCATTCATTTTTTAAAATACACAAACTCTTTAACATCAGAAATTTTATAATATTCCTCTTTCACCTTGAACTTGTATTCCAGTATCCTCACAAGAGTTTTATCCTAATATAATACATTTTATGTTTGAGATTCTTTTTTATTCATCACCCTGTCAATACTTTTTAGTTACAAAATAGACATTTTTAAAGTTTTTCAATTCCTTGTTATTCTTTAAAGCTCTAAATTTTAAAAATTTCATTTGGCCAGGCACTGTGGCTTACACCTATAATCCCAGCACTTTGGGAGGCTGAGGCAGAAGGATCACTGGAGGCCAGGAGTTTGAGACCAGCCTGGCAACATAGTGAGATTCCATCTCTACAAAATCAGGAAAAAAATTAGCTGAGCATGGTGATGCATGCGTGTAGTCCCAGCTTGGGCCCAGGGAGTCAAAGGCTGTAGTGAGCTATGAATGTGTCACTGGATCCACCTTAGGCAGTAGAGCAAGAACCTGGTCTATCTCAAAAAAAAAAAAAAATACGTATATGTATATACATATATACACATACACACACATATGTGTGTGTATATATATACACACATGTATATGTATATATATACACACATGTATATGTATATATGTGTATATATACACACACATATATAAAACACACATACATATATTTTATCATTACAGGTTTTATTAATAAATGGTACATCAAATAGTAAATACATTGTAAATTTTTATAAATAATTATTAAACAAGGCCGGGCACAGTGGCTCATGCCTATAATCCCAGCACTTTGGGAGGCCAAGGCGGGCAGATCTTGAGGTCAAGAGATTGAGACCATCCTGGCCAACATGGTGAAACCCCATCTCTACTAAAAATACAAAAATTATCTGGGCATGATGGTGTGCGCCTGTAGTCCCAGCTACTCAGGAGGCTGAGGCAGGAGAATTGCTTGAACCAGGGAGGCAGAGGTTGCAGTGAGCCGAGATCATGCCACTGCACTCCAGCTTGGTGACAGACCAAGACTCCATCTCAAAAAAAAAAAAAATTATTAAACAAAAATTTACTTGAAATGTATCTCTTAATAAGATGAATAGGACTCTCCCCTCTAATTCTCTAGATGCTATTAATTCAGTATATCTCTCAATGACTATTACTTACTGCTAGAATGAAACTGGAATTTAGCATCAGTAGTATCCCTGTTTCCCTTTTTATAGATGTAAATTGAAAAATCTAGTTTGCATTATTAAATAGATGAAGATAGAATTTACAGTTCTTTGAACTTCAGAATTATCCAAAAAGTATTAAACTTATTTTTTACAATCATCTGAAAACTTGAGTTCTCCTTTGTTTTGTTGAAATCAAAGAATTAGCAAGTACCTGACTGCAAGAATATTTGTGGCTCAGTCATTAGAGGCCTTTTTTTTTTAAGTTTCTGGAAAATATATCAAAAAGATATTAACAAGATATGAGTATAAATTATACTTGTTACTGTTTTACTTAGGTATCTTGTGTAACCTGATATATTCAAGAAGTTTTAGCACAGTGGTTCTCAAACCTTAGGTACATCAGAATCATGTGATAGACTTATTAAAGATTTCTGGGCTACATTCCCTGAGTTTCTGGATCAGGTGGGACCTGAGATGTTTTCTTCTTTTTTTTTTTTTTTCTAAAGACAGCGTCTCACTCTTGCCCAGGCTGGAGTGCTATCTCAGCTCACTGCAACTTCTACCACCTGGGCTCAAGACTATCCTCCCACCTCAGCCTCCTGAGTAACTGGGACTACAGGTGGCCACCACCACACCCAGCTAATTTTTGTATTTTTTTAATAGAGATGAGATTTCACCATGTTGCCCAGGCTGGTCACAGAATTTTCATTTTTATCAAGTTCTCATGAGATGCAGATGCTGCAGTCCAGGGACTGTATTTTTAGGATTACTGGGTTGGGAAAATTGAAATATTGTTCATTTCAAGACCGTTACAATGTATTTGATGTTTAGGTGCTTTTTATCATATACTTCAAATATATTTTTGTGAAAACCTTGACACTGCAGATTTACCTCAGTTGATTTTTCGGAAAATGTCTGCCACGTAACCTAGTAAAGATAGTTTTTATTAACAAAAGTCTCTTGCTTAATCAGGCTCTTTTTGTTACTTAGAAAAAGTCCAATGTTGTTTTTCAATTCAAGAAAGTATGTTAGTATGTTAGTGTGACGCGTTCTTTCCTTCAGAATTTTAACAGTTGAATTTGCCATGAGTTCGTAATCTGAATGAAATAAAATACCACCACCTTCTATACTTTTTCTTTCTTTCTCTCTTTCTTTTTTTTGAGAAAGGGTCTCACTCGGTCACCCAGACTGCAGTGCAGGGGCGCCATCAGAACCTGGCTCACTGTAGTGTTGAGCTCGGGAGCTCAATCGATCCCCCTACCTCAGGCTCCTGAGTAGTTGGTACTACAAGTACATGCCACCAAGTCTGGCTAAGGACGGGGTTTCACTATGTTGCCCAGGCAGTCTCAAACTCCTGGGATCAAGCAATTCACCCACTTCGGCCTCCCAAAGTGCTGGAATTACAGGCATGAGCCACCATGCCTGGCCCACCTTTGATATTTCTTTAAAATATTTTCTGTACTTTGTTTACACAGGATTCTGCCTAAGAAGTAATGCATTCTTTGACAGTAGTTAAGGAGGCAAGGGCATTAAGCAGAATTATCATTACTCTACAATTTATCTGAATTTAGAACAAACCAAGGGGCCAGAATACCCAATTTCTAATGCCCAACTTTGCCCTCAATTGTAATATGTAAAATACTGGTATTGACAGGAAGCTATACCAATAATACCTTGGTTAAGAGGCTTCATGGATACTAATGTTTCTAATTCTCTCTTTAGTGTTCCACGTTACACTATAACAATAATAATAGTAGCTAGCGTTTATATAGTGCTTACTTTGTGCTAGGCATTATTTTAAGTGACTTGCACATAATCTAATCCTTATAGCAACATACGAGGTTAGTGTACTGTTACTTTCCTCCATTGTATGGACAGAGTTATTTTGCTCATAGTTACACAGCTAGCTAGTGAGTGATGGAATTCTCTGGCTCTGGATTTATGCATTTAACCATAATGCATAATCCTGCAGAGCTATCAAAGATGGGTGAGAATTAAGTCATTTGATTCCAAAATGAGAGAAAAAATTATCAAAGAGGAGGTGATATTCTCATGCAAAGCAGTTTTAGGAAGAATACATAAGAAAGTTGAGTATCTGGAAATTGATTCAAAGTATAAGCACCTTCATTTAGAATGTCTTCAGGTATCCTGAGGGCAGTGCTCCTCAGTTTGTGGCTACTTTTTATAGTAATTATGTTTCCAGTTTAAATTCCCATTTGTGATTTTATTCCTCTTTCTACATTGTTTATAAAGACTTCTCATGATTTCAACGTAATTTCTAGTGTTTCATGAAATTGATTGCTAATTCATTCAGGAAATTTCAGTCTAAGTAGGGTATGCTCTTTCATAGTAGAGATGATAAAGGGAGGAAGATTTCTACACAGTTTCAGGCCCTAGAAAGTATTTTCTGTATTAATATCGTCAACTTAGAAGGGGAAGAAAAGATAAGCTAGGATTGCCAACAGGAAAAATTATTTTTGTTCTAACTGTTGCATTATCTCAAGGAGCATATAATAGTATGGCCTCTAAAATGTGACAGACCTGGATTCAAATCCAACACTTTTAAAAGAAGTCCTTCCAAGTATACCCAGCTCTGCTATCTCCACCGTGTTCCTGGCTGAACTTAATCTCTGAGCTTTAGTTTTCTGATCTGTAAAATAGGTATAATTAAACTTAGACTTAAAAGATTAAAATATATAATGTAAATATAAATGGATTTATACAGAGTATATGTTTATTAAATGGCTACAATTAGCTGTTACCTCAAAGAAAGCATGGGGCATTCATCAAAGGTTATGATTGCCTCAGATCATTCACACATTTGGCTGTACTATGGAGCTTGCCTAGTTCCAATAATTTTAAAATGCATTTGTTCTGTTTGAGGGTTCTGAGAAGCTTTGCTAAAATATCATCTGAAAAAAATTGTGTATAATCTGTGTGCTTAAAAACTACATTGCCGTGTCACATAGCAAGTTTTCTAAAAACCTACAAAGTAATGCTGATCAATAGTGAAAAAAGGATAATTAATTTTTATTTACAAATATATGATTCAGACTTATAATTTATAATATGACTTTATACTTTTCATGTTTTCCTTAGTTCCTTTGTATAACATAGGGGAGAAGAAAAGGTAACATACATCATTTTTCTACAGATCTCTTCAACATGTTAGAAAATAATAGGTGATTTACTCATTTATTCATTGACCTTGAAACTTTTAGAATATGTCATAGATGCAACTTTAGAAAGTATGTGTCTTAAGATTAATAGCTAGTACATTTGTATACAACCAGGTTGCCTCTTTCAGGAAAAAAGTATAATTCAAATTTATTATTACAACAGATATCTTCTTTTTTTCTTCCCCAGAAAAATTATGGAAATCCTTTTTTGAATATGGGACTTTAAATTAGTTCAGCTTTTGTTCACTGTATTCCAAAAATTTTATATATGCCACTTACAGAGTTATTAATCTTTTAAATTAGGGAGTGAAGCCATAATTTCAGCTGCGTTCTGCTTCCGTAGCTAAACGGAAAGATGCTCAACTTACGTGTTGAACTGTATGACCCTGGGCCAGTTTTTTAAATCACTTTGAGTCTCAGTTTTCTTATCTGTACCTACCTCACAGAAGAATTAAGTAAGCAGATATTGTAAAGTATTTAGTTCAGTGTCTTGCCCATGGGAATAACAGAGGTTATATTAACTAAATCATCCATATTAATTGTTATTATTTTAATGATTGTGAGGTTAAACAAAATAGTTCATATGAATCCTCTAAGACAGTGCCTGGTATGATATGTGCTCCATTATATATTAGGTTTGTTCTCAAATGTGTATACTTTCATATGTTTATACACCTTTTAAAAAGGTATTCATTGTGTTAATGGGTTCAATATCCATAAAAAAAAGTATGGCAAATAGTGACTAACTTTTAAGAAATGATGTAGCTAATGTATTTTTTTCTTTAGCTTCCAGAGCAGTTGTAGCGCAGCATGTTGCTCCACCTCCAGGAATAGTGGAAATAGATAGTGAGAAGTTTGCTTGTCAGTGGTAAGTGGTTTATTTCTATTAAGGATTTATCCTTGGGAGGAGTAAAGCAAAGAAAAAAAGGAAATGTATTCTACAGACATCCAGAATGTTTTGTTCTGTATTCCTTTTTAGTTAGAGTAGAATATCATTTACACAAAGAAAGGACACTTTAAAATCCCCTTGTATATTGGAATAATTTGAAAGAAAAATATTCATCAGAATTTTCAGAATTAAAATAGTATGACTAGAATGTCATTAAATTACACCATTTAACTTTTTTCAGAGTAAAATTTGTGTTAAAAAGTTATCTTTCACTTTGTAGAAAGTACAGTTTGTCAGGTTACAAAATTTGTTCTTCTAAAATTAACATTTTGTTAAAACTGAATTGGACTGACCTTAAGAAAATAAAAGCAGGTGTTTTAAAATGTCTCTTCTCTTCCATCTAAAACAAAACTTCTTATTCTTTAATAATTTTTGGGTTTGTAATAGTAGACGGACATTAATCAAATGATAGAACAGAAATAAGCAGCTTGACAATAATATTTCCTTGAAAAGATTGTGTAGTCCTATCTGCACCACTTTCTGAAAAAAAGCAAATGAAGAGTTTTAAAAATTTCACTTGTTATGGATAGTTGCCTCAACATTAGTATGAAGTTCGGCTTAAATTCTTTAGAAGATTAACAGATTGAATTACACAATCACTTTCCAATGATATATCACTTTAAAAATTTCTTGATCACTTTTCTGCCATTCACTAACATTATTTGTCTCCCATTTCATGCTCCTGTCACTCTTTGTTCCGTATTTTTGGTGCTTTCAATACATTTTTGTTCCTATGACAGTTTTCTCCAGACTTTTCTACTTTGCTTAAATCGGGTTTATGGTTTTAAATATCTCTAATTGTTTGCTTTTTCCTCACCTTCTATATTTTTACACATTGGCCCCTTACACTTGAATCTTTTCCAGTAATATTTGGAAATGTTGTTTGTCTTCTACATTGCAACCAAAATGAAGTTTTTATATCTAGTCTTTTTGAAATTTCAGTACAGACAGGATTATGAAAGTTGGAAAGAATACACACCATAACCACTATAAAATGTGTATGTGTTAAGCATAGATTTGGTCTTATAAATCCCAGTTGCACGTTTCTGCTATTTCTTGGAGAGGGGGAAGAGAATCATTTTACAGTTTTTTTTTTAAATCATAATTACTATTTGATTTAGTTTTTCAGAAAAACTAAGTTTAGCCTATTATACATAGTGAGTTATGGAAAGAGCCTATCAGGGTAATCAGGCCTCCAATCCCAATTTATAGGTAAAGGTCATTTTAAGAAAAAGACAAAATGAGGTTTGAATTAGTTTGTAATGGATTACAAATTAAAACTGTTTTGAAATGGGGAAATGGGAGTGTGCAGCATGGAAAGTGTCATTGTTTTAGGAAGTAGCTGAAAAGCTTGGATAAGTTTTTTCTGAAGGAATTTGATCCAAGAGCCAAGGAAAGTTTAACCTTAGTTCAGTTTCCCCCCATTTTCTTCAGCTACAATGCAAATAGCACGTAATTGGGAACTTGTTTTATGTTATGATTATTACAAGACAGGATGCCGAATAGATATTCACTAAATAAAACTATTTCTTATAGAACATTTGTTGTCAGCAGACCAACCCTGCTCTCATTGGGATGTGAACATAGTTTTTATATTTGTTGTCAGTGTCATTTTTAATACTAAAATAAGCATGTTAATCTATTGATTTAATCTAAAATTTAGCATATATTTTTGCTACTAACGTATGAGTCAGTGAAATTTGATTAGTAGGTATAATTATTAGTTTTAACACATTGCCTCCACATGGCTTTAGTATATTTAAATATGGAGTTTCCTAGAGTATATTGTATAATGCTTAATTTTTCTCCTCTTTTAGGCTAAATGCTCATTTTGAAGTAAATCCAGATTGTTCTGTTTCTCGAGCAGAAATGTATTCTGAATACCTCTCGACTTGCAGTAAATTAGCTCGTGGTGGAATCCTAACATCAACTGGATTTTATAAATGTCTTAGGTAGGATCCATAGTTCTTTAAATAAAGTCCATTTACGTCACTTACAACATCTCTTGCTCTTTAAAGAAAATACCAAATATCTTATCTAGTTTTAAATATTTCTACTACTAGAAGTTTCGTATGGATAGGTTATAGTGTGGTGGAGGTTTAAATAAAAAGCAGTTTCAGAAATCACATCTAGTGTTTGTGTTGGAACATTATGAGATTTATCAAAGAAATGAAGTTTACTTTCTTTTTCCTACCTACTTTTACATGTTAAAGACATGACTGTATCTTTTTAATCTTGAATAATAGAATATAATATTATTATCTTCAAATACAAAGACTTTTTGATATTTTGCAAAGTACATAAAAATAGGTATCTTTTATTAGTTATATGTGGGTGGAATTGTTTAAAACCCAGCGACATTGTTAATAAATAATGATGTTTTAAATGGGATGATTAATCTTTTATATTTCTTTGCTTTCCATCCTTGCAGAATATAACTGTGAGTCATACTGGTTCATACATAAGCAACAGTAAACATACTGCTGTTGTTCATGTAAACATAATGTTAGAAGTCAATGTGATAGTTATCAAAACTTACTGATTATGTATGTACTTTACAGAACGGTCTTTCCAAATCATACAGTGAAGAGAGTGGAGGATTCCAGTAGCAATGGGCAGGCACATATTCATGTGGTAGGAGTAAAACGGAGGGCTATACCACTTCCCATTCAGATGTACTATCAGCAGCAACCAGTTTCTACTTCTGTTGTTCGTGTTGATTCTGTTCCTGATGTATCTCCTGCTCCTTCACCTGCAGGTGTTAATTTTTATTGTATTTTTAAAGTATTACTGATTTAATAATAAAACTGAATGAAAAATATATATTCTATGCATTTTAAATGTATAACTTTTGTGTCTCCAGTAGCATTTTCTTACTTGGTCTATTACCATATTCATATGATTCAAAATTGTTAGATGTTAATTTCTTAAAACTATTTTCTCTTAAGTAAAATAATTCCTACTTGGGATTTTCAGTCATTTCATTTGGAATTTTGACGTTTTCTTCATATTTTCAGGAATCCCTCATGGATCACAAACCATAGGAAACCATTTTCAGAGGACTCCTGTTGCCAACCAATCTTCAAATCTGACTGCAACACAAATGTCTTTTCCTGTACAAGGTGTTCATACTGTGGCACAAACTGTTTCAAGAATTCCACAAAATCCTTCACCTCATACCCACCAGCAACAAAATGCTCCAGTGACTGTCATTCAAAGTAAAGCTCCAATTCCTTGTGAAGTTGTTAAGGCTACAGTTATCCAGAATTCCATACCCCAGACAGGAGTTCCTGTTAGTATTGCTGTTGGAGGAGGACCTCCACAGAGTTCTGTTGTTCAGAATCATAGTACAGGGCCACAACCTGTTACAGTTGTGAATTCTCAGACATTGCTTCACCATCCATCTGTAATTCCACAGCAGTCTCCATTACACACAGTGGTACCAGGACAGATCCCTTCAGGCACTCCTGTTACAGTAATTCAACAAGCTGTCCCACAGAGTCATATGTTTGGCAGAGTACAGAACATACCAGCATGTACTTCTACAGTTTCACAGGGTCAACAGTTAATCACCACATCACCCCAACCTGTGCAAACTTCATCTCAACAGACATCAGCTGGTAGCCAGTCACAAGATACTGTTATCATAGCACCCCCACAGTATGTAACAACTTCTGCATCCAATATTGTCTCAGCAACTTCAGTACAGAATTTTCAGGTAGCTACAGGACAAATGGTTACTATTGCTGGTGTCCCAAGTCCACAAGCCTCAAGGGTAGGGTTTCAGAACATTGCACCAAAACCTCTCCCTTCTCAGCAAGTTTCATCTACAGTGGTACAGCAGCCTATTCAACAACCACAGCAGCCAACCCAACAAAGCGTAGTGATTGTAAGCCAGCCAGCTCAACAAGGTCAAACTTATGCACCAGCCATTCACCAAATTGTTCTTGCTAATCCAGCAGCTCTTCCAGCTGGTCAGACAGTTCAGCTAACTGGACAACCTAACATAACTCCATCTTCTTCACCATCACCTGTCCCAGCTACTAATAACCAAGTCCCTACTGCCATGTCGTCGTCCTCTACCCCTCAATCACAGGGACCACCTCCTACTGTCAGTCAAATGTTATCTGTGAAAAGGCAGCAACAGCAGCAACATTCACCAGCACCCCCACCACAGCAGGTACAAGTACAAGTTCAGCAGCCCCAACAAGTACAGATGCAAGTTCAACCTCAACAGTCGAATGCAGGAGTTGGTCAGCCTGCCTCTGGTGAGTCGAGTCTGATTAAACAGCTTCTGCTTCCGAAACGTGGTCCTTCAACACCAGGTGGTAAGCTTATTCTCCCAGCTCCACAGATTCCTCCCCCTAATAATGCAAGAGCTCCTAGCCCTCAGGTGGTCTATCAGGTGGCCAGTAACCAAGCCGCAGGTTTTGGAGTGCAGGGGCAAACTCCAGCTCAGCAGCTATTGGTTGGGCAGCAAAATGTTCAGTTGGTCCCAAGTGCAATGCCACCCTCAGGGGGAGTACAAACTGTGCCCATTTCGAACTTACAAATATTGCCAGGTCCACTGATCTCAAATAGCCCAGCAACCATTTTCCAAGGGACTTCTGGCAACCAGGTAACCATAACAGTTGTGCCAAATACGAGTTTTGCACCTGCAACTGTGAGTCAGGGAAATGCAACTCAGCTCATTGCTCCAGCAGGAATTACCATGAGCGGAACGCAGACAGGAGTTGGACTTCCAGTACAAACGCTTCCAGCCACTCAAGCATCTCCTGCTGGACAATCATCATGTACTACTGCTACTCCCCCATTCAAAGGTGATAAAATAATTTGCCAAAAGGAGGAGGAAGCAAAGGAAGCAACAGGTTTACATGTTCATGAACGTAAAATTGAAGTCATGGAGAACCCGTCCTGCCGACGAGGAGCCACAAACACCAGCAATGGGGATACAAAGGAAAATGAAATGCATGTGGGAAGTCTTTTAAATGGGAGAAAGTACAGTGACTCAAGTCTACCTCCTTCAAACTCAGGGAAAATTCAAAGTGAGACTAATCAGTGCTCACTAATCAGTAATGGGCCATCATTGGAATTAGGTGAGAATGGAGCATCTGGGAAACAGAACTCAGAACAAATAGACATGCAAGATATCAAAAGTGATTTGAGAAAACCGCTAGTTAATGGAATCTGTGATTTTGATAAAGGAGATGGTTCTCATTTAAGCAAAAACATTCCAAATCATAAAACTTCCAATCATGTAGGAAATGGTGAGATATCTCCAATGGAACCACAAGGGACTTTAGATATCACTCAGCAAGATACTGCCAAAGGTGATCAACTAGAAAGAATTTCTAATGGACCTGTATTAACTTTGGGTGGTTCATCTGTGAGCAGTATACAGGAGGCTTCAAATGCGGCAACACAGCAATTTAGTGGTACTGATTTGCTTAATGGACCTCTAGCTTCAAGTTTGAATTCAGATGTGCCTCAGCAACGCCCAAGTGTAGTTGTCTCACCACATTCTACAACCTCTGTTATACAGGGACATCAAATCATAGCAGTTCCCGACTCAGGATCAAAAGTATCCCATTCTCCTGCCCTATCATCTGACGTTCGGTCTACAAATGGCACAGCAGAATGCAAAACTGTAAAGAGGCCAGCAGAGGATACTGATAGGGAAACAGTCGCAGGAATTCCAAATAAAGTAGGAGTTAGAATTGTTACAATCAGTGACCCCAACAATGCTGGCTGCAGCGCAACAATGGTTGCTGTGCCAGCAGGAGCAGATCCAAGCACTGTAGCTAAAGTAGCAATAGAAAGTGCTGTTCAGCAAAAGCAACAGCATCCACCAACATATGTACAGAATGTGGTCCCGCAGGTAAGTTATTCCATGATCACATTTCTCTTATGAAATTTCTGATCTGTAAATACAATTTTAGAGGGAAATGCACTGTTTTCCATGTCTCATCTTGAAAAGTTACTGTATCAGCTCACTTGTATCCAACCTGTCCTTTTCTTTTTCTCTGGTTTTGTAATATTAGTTTTCAATTTTAGCACATGATTTAAAGAATCTTTCAATTTTGTTATAGATCCAAATTAATAATTTTCTAGGCCCAAGGTAGAGAAGCAGTTGCTAATCTGACATCTTTTGGAGAATTTAAAAAATGTATCTTAATCTCCTTTTTGAGTTTACTGCACAAGTGTTGGGGGGAATGGGGGTCCTAAGAGTACTCTAAATGGGGATTTCTGTATTTGATTTTGACCTGAGTGTGTTTTTGTTGCCTCTTTAACAGTACTGTTGTAATAAGGATGAATCTTGTAATAACTTTATCAGTCGTATTCTTTTTGTATTTATGTATTGCATTAGTCTCCTTTAGTGTTAAAAAGTATTATTTATTGTAATTTCAATTTGTTTCAGATATTCTGATATTCTTTTCTGTTTCTTACTCCTTTGCTTTACTGTCCTATTCCTGCTATTCCCTTTTTAATGCCTAAGATTCCATCTCTGCATGCCTTAGTAAAAACAAGTATTTTCTAAAATCAGCACTACCAAGTTGAGGGTCCAATCAGGCTATGAGGATTTTAAGGACAATCTTATATGCTCTTTCCACTGAAATCATGGATTCTCTTAACAGTCGTCACCACCTGTTTCCTGGATCACTTTTCTTTCACTCTGTTCTTCCTAATTCCTACATAGCCAGAACCTTCTATGACTACTGCCAACTCTGCTGACACAGTTCTGGCTTGGGCTTCTGTATGGTTACGGTGATGACAGCAGATATATGGCTATTGTTGGCATTAGTGCCAAATCTAGGTGTGGGCAATAGCCAAATGGAAAGTACAAGAACAAAGGGAAGAGCCCCTTGCTTCAGAACTAGTAGAATAACTGACAGGTACCAGTCCGTGGCCCTTTAGGAACTGGGCCACACAGCCGGAGGTGAGCGGCAGGTGAGCGAGTGAAGCTTCATCTGTATTTACTTACAGCCGCTTCCCATCACTCACGTTATATCCTGAGCTCTGTCTCCTGTCAGATCAGTGGCAGCATTAGATTCTCGTAGGACCACAAGCCCTATCGTGAACTGTGCATGCGAAGGATCTAGGTTGCACGCTCCTTAGGAGAATCTAACGCCTGATGATCGGTCACTGTCTCCCATTCCCCAGATGGGACTGTCAAGTTGCAGGAAAACAAGCTCAGAGCCCCCAATGATTCTACATTATGGCAAGTTGTATAATTATTTCATTATATATTACAGTGTAATAATAGAAATAAAGTGCTTAATAAATGTAATGCGCTTGTATCACCCCAAAACCATCTCCTCACTCCCTGGTCTGTGGAAAAATTGTCCTCCATGAAACCGGTCCCTGGTGCCAAAAAGATTGGAGACTTCTGCTTTGAGGGATGTTATATACATGGCAATAATTAATCCTGAGTTATTGATGGAAAATACTGTATCATTTTTATTCAAGCTTCCACATGTTGAGCTTTCCACTTAAACACAATTTTTTAATTAGTGCAATGTGGAGTATATAGTAGATATTCCATAGTTAGGTTTTTTCTCTTATATTTAATAATTTCCCACTTCACCTTGATTATGTGCCTGTTACTCCTCTTAGAGACCTTTACAATCCTAAATAGTTATAACAGACCAAGCCAAATTAGAGAAAAACTCCATCTCCATCATTATGGAATTGTTTCACCAACACTCATTTTTTGTACCCTTAATCTTCCAATGTGGTTGTAGTCAGTAATATCACAATTACAAAGAATGAACAATAATACTAGCTAAGACGAGGACATGTCATAGGGACTTTATACTAAAGCAGTTTCTCATTTAATCCTCACACAACCTTATTAGGTAAAATTTATTATAAAGATGAGGACTCAAGATGGCTAGTAACTTGCCCAAGGTTACCAACTAATATGAGGTGGTACCAGGACAGAAACCTGGGTTTGTCTGAAACCAAAACTCATGCTCTTAACCCATTAACCTTTCTTCTTTCCACTGTTCTAGAAGATTTCTCTATAAAGCTCTAGAGAGCCTTTTTTTAATCTAACATATTGATTATTTGAGCTGTTGTGTTAGAGGATGTTCTATTAAATGATCATTTTAGGACATTATTGCTAAAACTCATTGGTTATTTGAGCTGTGGTGTTATGAGATGTTCTACTAAATGATAATTTTAGGACATTAATGCTAAAATGCTTTACTTAGCACATTGGACATATATGTAGTTAATTCAGGCCAAGAAATCAATACATTTTGTTCCTAATCTGAAAAATCTGTATTAAACTTTCTTACATTCTCACAAAGGATGTAGTTTATTTAAAATAGGTACATTCTTTATTTCTAAAACTGATATTTGGTTGTCTTATAGAAATTTAAAACTTTGCAAGGAAAAAGAGATGTAGCGTACATGATGTCTATGAGAATGAGAATAACAAAAACAGCATTCTTATATATAGCACTTAGCCCAGTGCCTGCTACATATATGGGCAGTTAGTAATGGGGAAGGTATGCTTTATCTTTTTATAGATGATGAAGTACCTATTGGGGCTAAATATTTTTAACAGACAAAAAAATTAACTGTTCAAGATGGCGTTATAAGTTTCTTTTGAAGAGAAGGTTGTTGGGCCTTCTGAAAAGCATGCTAATTAACAGAAAGCCATAACCATTATTGCCCCCATCCTTTTAATTTCTTTCTTTTTTGGGTGGGGAAGACAGGGGCTTACTCTGTTGACCAGGCTAGAGTGCAGTAGTGCAATCACAGCTCACTGCAGCCTCGACCTCCTTGGCTCAAGTAATCCTTCCACCTCAGCCTCCCAAGACTGTAGCTGGGAGCACAGGCATGTACTGCCATGCCCAGCTAATTTGTTTTATGTTTTATTTTTGTAGAGTTGGGATCTCCCTATGTTGCCCAGGCTGGTCTTAAACTCCTAGCAGACTTGAGTGATCCCCGCGCCTTGGCCTCCCAAAGTGCTGAGATTATAGGTGTGAGCCAACAGACCTGGCTTAAATTTCTTTATGTACTCTTTTTCTTTCTTCTTTTCTTTTTTTTTTTTTTTTTTTTTTTTTGAGACACAGTCTCGCTCTGTTGCGTAGGCTGGAGTGCGGTGGCATGATGTCAGCTCACTGCAACCTCTACCTCCCGGGTTCAAGCGATTCTTCCACCTCAGCCTCCTGAGTAACTGGAATTACAGGCCACCATGCCTGGCTGATTTTTGTATTTTTAATAGAGACTGGGTTTCACCATGTTGGTCAGGCTGGTCTCAAGCTCCTGACCTCGTGATCCGCCCACCTCGGCCTCCCAAAGTGCTGGGATTACAGGCGTAAGCCACCATGCCTGACTAAATTTCTTTATATACTCTTTAAAGTTGCATGTTAGACCTTGGTTTAATACCATTTTATTCACTATTTGAATTGGTAGCTTAAAGGAGTAGACAAAATAGAGGATTTTAATTGTGATTTTTTTTGGAGAAACCTTGTTATTCTACAATTTCAAGGGATCTAGGGATGTTAAGGAAGTACTTGCACCCTGATAAGGGATTTCCAGACTTGCAGAATGCCCAGGGCTGGAAAGAGCACAGGGAAGTCTCCTTGCCAAGAAGGAGCAACAAGTAATCCTTTCTAATGCCATTGTAATTCATTTTTTTTCTTCTCAGTTTTGTTTCTTCCAACCTCCATTAATCAGCTATATTAATTTTATTACAGAAAAAAATAGCAACAAGTAAAAAGAATCTATGTGAAAGTAAATGATATACCCATTGATTTTTATATTTAGTATTTAGCTGGGTAGTTTATATAAATATAAAATAAACTGTACCTACTTCAAGGCACATTTCTTTATTGGTAACTGCTTATTTCAAATGTAATACTTGCAAGTTGAAGCACAATTTATAGAATACTATTTCCAGAAGCCCTGCCCTGTTCCACTGTTCATGAATTGGTATCTGTTGGAAACATATTTGCTAAATGGCATACTAAAAATAAAAAAGAATTTATAAAATGAAAGAAACTTAGATACAAAAACTTAACATAAGACTTGGTTTTTTTTCAGGATCATACAAAATACATGTTGAACATAATCTGTTAGTTATCTGTTAATCCCATAATCTGATAACATGCCAAATTCTTATACATAAAAATAGTTTAAGGATATACATATTTAAGATATTTAACATATGCCTCGCCTCAATTCAGAGTGTAAATCATTCCTAATAATGGTACTGTGTAACATGGAATATTGGTATCTTACTGGTAAAGAGCTTGAGAAAGTTACTCAACCCATCAGAAAATAGATTGGTAGCCTCAGGCGGGGGCAGCATTTAGTTGTAGCCATAAAAGAACAGTTTAGCAAGAGCCACAAGAATATCACTTTTGTTTTTCTAAGAGTACTGCCACTCAGATTTGTAGACCAATAGCACATTATAAAACTAAGAAAAGTATTACATAACTTTTTTGTTTATATTTTAATGTGTTCTTATAAAGTAGTGTTGGCATGTATTGATGATCTAAATTTATACTTAATAAGAGGAAAAAACTTGGTAATTTAAGAAAATGAGGAAATGTTAGAGCTGAAGGGTCTCTGATATTATATCTTGGCCAAAACTCCTACTTTTAAGAGTTGAAGTGAATTGTCCACATTCACAAAAATCTCTTTTCCAGTGATTTCTATTACTGTCTTAATTCTCTTCTCTGAAGACTTATACATTTAGCTAAATGCATCTCTCTCTCTCTCCCTCTCTCTCTCTCTTTTTTTTAATACAGAGCCTCGCTCTGTTGCCTAGGCTGGAGTGCAGTGGCACACTCTTGGCTCACTGCAACCTCTGCCTCTTGGGCTTAAGCAATCCTCCTTCTTCAGCCTCCCGAGTGGCTGGCACTACAGGTGCACACTACCACACCTGTCTGATTTTTGTATTTTCTGTAGAGACCAGGTTTTGCCATGTTGCCCAGGCTGATCTCAAACTCCTGGGCTCAAGTGATCCTTCTGCCTTGGCCTCCCAAAGTGCTGGGATTATAGGCATGAGCCACCGTGCCTGGCCTAGCTAGAGGTATCTCTTATATCACATTCAGAGTAAATACAATTCTTGTTCCTTACAAGGTTTTGAAAGTGTCTTTCCTTCTCACCTCTTCTTTAGAATACTCTTTCCCAGTTTCTTCAGTATGGTTTTAGGTGTCATGGTGTCTGGTTTATTCACCATCCTGTTTATCTCAACCATAGAAGATACAGCTACTCAGGAGGCTGAGGTGGGAAGATTGCATGAGCCCAGGAGTTCAAGGCTGCAGTGAACTGTGATCACGCCATTGCACTCCAGCCTGGGTGACAGAGCAAAACCCTATCTAAAAAAAAGAAAGAAAGAAAGAAACTTTCCTTTTATACTTTCCTTGCTCTTTAACCCCTCCTCCCATGCCACTTTCTCACCATCAGAGTTCTATGGCTTTTAGAATTTGCAGGTGAATGGTTTTCAGATTTATTTTTCCAACATTAACTTCTATTGATAGACATTTTTAGTTCGTTCATCTGTCATTATTCCCAAACTAAACCGATCATCTTTCCTCTGAAATATGGTTTCCTATTATTGCCATTTATTGAGACTCTTGAGCTAGGCTTCTCATTTATAGTTTCTCTAGTCTTCCCATCATCTCATAAGTTAGTTTTTATTACTTACACTTTACAGATGAGAAAACTGAGGATCAGAGAGGTTAAGTCGGTAGCCCAAGATCACATGGCTAGTAAAAATCAGATTGAAAGTGTGAGTCCTGATCTGTCAAGCTGGAAAATCCTCATCCTATTTGTGATATCTCTACGGCCCTAAAATGTTTTTGGTGCATGTGTATGTTTTCTTATTGTAAAATCTTAAGAGTGGGAACCTATTATAGAAATGTCAGTCTTGAAGTAGATTTTTCCCTCAGAGCTTAGAACTCAAAAGTTCTTGACTTCCCATTTCTGACAACTTTGTCTTTCAACATGTTATTCTCTTCCTTCTTTCATTTGTATGTCATAGTAGCCTTGTATGTTTGTGATTTATCTTTTTTTCTAAAGAAAATTACTGTGGCTTTTAATCTAAGTTCTCAGCAATTTTAGCTTACTGCTTTCCCACCTATTGCCAGTACAGTCATGTGCTACTTAAGGACATTTCTGTCAAGGATGGACCACATAATACAACAATAGTCTCATAAGATCATAATATTGTTTTCACTGTACCTTTTCTATGTTTTGATACACAAATACTTAACCATTGTGTTACGGTTGCCTATAGTATTCGGTACAGTAACATGCTATACAGATTTTTAGCCTAGGAGCAATAGGCTATTCCATATAGCCTAGGTATGTAGTAGGCTATATCATCTAGGTTTGTGGAAGTACACCGTATGGCATTCACAGAACAATGAAATGTTCTGTGACCCATTTCTCAAACATATTCCTGTCATTAAGTGATGCACGACTGCATTACCTTATAAATGAACAAGTATATTCAATGTTTTCCCAGAGTTTTAATTTACTGCCTTTAAGCAGTTCTTCAAAAATAATGTACTACCATTTCTATAAGAAATTTAACATTAATTTTTCCCTTTGTGGTATTTCAAGAAAATATATTGCCTAAATTTGATTTAAGGTACATTTTGATTATTAGTGTTTTTTCCAAGAGAAAGGGATGGGATCTAAAAGAAAAAAATTATAGGATATATTTAAAAGACTTTATGCCTACAATTAGAATTATTATTTTTTCTTTTGAGACAGAGTCTCCTCTTTCACCCAGGTTGGAGTGAAGTGGAGCGATCTCAGCTCACTGCAACCTCTGCCTCCCGGGTTCAAGTGATTCTCCTGCCTCAGCCTCCCAAGTAGCTGGGATTACAGGCGCCTGCCACCACGCCTGGCTAATTTTTGTTTTTAGCAGAGATGGGGTTTCGCCATGTTGGCCAGGTTGGTCTCGAACTCCTGACCTCAGGTGATCCACCCCCCTGGGCCTCCCAAAGTGCTAGGATTACAGGCATGAACCACCGTGCCCAGCCTAGAATTCTTACATAAATAACAAAAGATATAATTAGACTGGGGGCTGGATGTGGCAGCTCATACCTGTAATGCCAGCACTTTGGGAGGCCAAAGGGGGAGGATGGCTTGAGGCCAGTAATTTGAGATTATAGTGAGCTATGATTATGCCTCTGTAACCTGCCCAGGCAACAGAACAAGACCGACCCTGTCTCTAAAAATAACAAAAATACATAATTGAGCAACTTCAAAATCTAAAATTGTTAAGCAGCTTACTGCAAATTAGTTAATATCATATTTTATACATATGGTTACATCATTATTGCTATCTAAAATTTTCATTGCTTTTTACCATATTGTTTCACATTATATTCTTTAGAAAATCTAAAAGTAAACATACAAAAAAGTAGTAACTTGCAGTTGATCTGTTCTTGTGAAGAATTCACATAAGTAAATCCAATGGGTACATTTATAGTATATTTATTTCTCATTTAAATCTACAATTGTATTGTTTCATCCTAAAAATCTTTATTTTAAATAATATATATTTTATAGTGGTAATAACAATGTGGTATTACCTTCGTGGTTTTATATTAAATAAAATAAACTTTCTAAATATTTCTATAAAAATAATTTTTAAAGATTTTAAAGGTAATCATAAGCTTAAAATTATAAAATGTAAATTTTATGGTAGAAATGTATAACAACATAATCAAATTTATAAGACTATACTATAAAATATGAATTTTTTCAGTGTCATGTCACAAACTCTGCATTTGTTCTTTTTCACAGAACACTCCTATGCCACCTTCACCAGCTGTACAAGTGCAGGGCCAGCCTAACAGTTCTCAGCCTTCTCCATTCAGTGGATCCAGTCAGCCTGGAGATCCAATGAGAAAACCTGGACAGAACTTCATGTGTCTGTGGCAGTCTTGTAAAAAGTAAATGGCAATTTTATTTGATATATAAAAGTATTCTTTGTTTTGGAATGCTTTTATATTTAAGTTTCTGTCATCTATAGTTGCATGAAAATTTTCCTTTAGAACCACTAACTTTAGCGAAACTACAAGAGTTATATTTATGATCCATTATGTGGACCTAAACTAAGAAATTTATATATAAGTGATGGAAAGAACTTCATTGCTTAATGGTACGTTGTAGAGAATACGGTTCAATATTTGTTTTCAGTAAAGAAAATCAATTAAGAATTTAATTATATATTTGGCTGTTAAAAGCTTTTTTTTGTTGTTTTTGTCGTTTTTAAGTGGCTTGAACTTAGTGGCAGCTATAGTATTTCCATATAGTAGAAACTTAGAAGTAATAATGTGCTAGAAAGAGAATGACTTGTCTTGAATTTGAGTTTGGGATGGATACCTATGAAAATTATTTTTAAAGCCATACCATCTTACAATTTAATTAAGATGAACTTTTGAAATAAACCTTTCTTAGACTTGAAGGAAAACTTGAAAAGAATGTTGGTTAAAATAAAAATCTTAATTCCTTTGACAGTACTTAGGTAAGACCTTTTGCCTTCAGTCATTTTTTTAGAGGTCTAGGACTAAGGCATTTGTCTTTTTTTTTTTTTTTTTTTTTGGAAACAGAGTCTCGCTCTGTTGTTCAGGCTGGAGTGCAGTGGCGCTATCTCCACTCACTGCAACCTCCACCTCCTAGGTTCAAGCAATTCTTTTGCCTCAGCTTCTTGAGTAGCTGGGATTACAGGCATGTGCCACCATCCCTGGCTAATTTTTGTTTTTTTTTTCACCACGTTGGCCAGGCTAGTCTGGAACTCCTGACCTCCAGTGATCCCTCTGGCCTCGGCCTCCCAAAGTGCTGGGACTACAAGCGTAAGCTACTAAGCCCTGCCAGCATTTGTTTTAATAGACATAACACTGTTCATTTTTTAGATATCAAAGATTCCATTTCACTCTTCATAATTAATAGCAGAAATTACCATATCTTTTACAAGCTATCTTTGCTATTCATATTTTTGTGATATAGATATTATACTTTATTGTAAACTTCATATACAGATTTTTTATATGATTATGGCTACCTGTGTAGCCTAGGGATTATTAATAGTATGCAAAATATCTATAGGATAGCAATGATCAAACTGTAACTCTCAACCCAGTAGTGGGACTGTGGATCATTTTAGTAGGTTTTTGTTTGTTTTTCTTTTCAATGAAAAAATTAAATATATCATAGTTCACCATGTTAGCAAGGGTAAATATTGTTTTCAGTTATATATATGTGACCTATATATGTGTATTTGATCATAGTATAAAATCTATTTGTCAAAAAAATTCTTTAAAAATCAGTCCTTTAGGTTGTTTCCTTCATTCATTGAAGGATTATTTCCTTCATTCATTTAATTTGACCATCTCTTTCTTTTTAAGGTGTATGTTTGTAAGTTAATTTGAAACTTTCTTCACTGCATGCCAATTTTACTCTCTCCATTTGTCTTGAGATTTTTGTTTTTTTCATGGCAAATAGTAGTTGATGGAATGGGTAGTGTGCTAAAGGTGTTTGTTAACTTTTCAAAAAGTTTACGAAGCTTGTCGCAGTGGTGCACTCCTGTAGCCCCAGCTGCCCAGGAAGGCTGAGGCAGGAGGATCGCTTGAACCTAGGAATTCGAGTCTAGCTTGGGCAACATGGTGAGACCTCATGTCTAAAAAGATAAAAATAAAGAAGTTTAAGCATAACTGCTTTAGATGAAGTGTTTAGGTTACTTCAAGATAAGTTGCCGGAAGAGTTAATGAACCTAGATGTCTGACAGTTTCCCATCTTGCTAATAGATCAGTGTTACATAATTTGATGATTTACCTTTTTCTTGCTAGTCTTTTCTAAACAAGACAGATTAAACAGGGCTTCTTAGAGCATGCCATTTTTTTTTTATCCATAGCTTTTCACTACTGCATTGCTAATAAGTTTAGTTTTAGTCTGCAAATATTTGTTAAGCATCCTCTACGAGGGTGCATGTGCCAGAAGATAGAAATACAAAAATCACTCCCAGTCCTGAGGGACACAGACCAAAAAACAAATAAATTACAGTATAAGTAAGTACTGTAAAAAAGATAGTTTCATAGTGCTGTTTGCAACATATTGGACAATTTAACTTTGAGATGGTTGGAGAGTTTTACTACAAGCATTACATTTTAGTTGAGTCTTAAAGAATGAGTAGGAATTTTTCATGCTAAAATAAACCTGTCAGAATGTTAAGAGCAAGCACAGGAGTGTAAAAGGACCTTGTATGTCCAGGAAACTGTGAGAAGTTAGGATACTACAAGCATAACGACATGAAAAGAGAAATGGCTCTTATTCATATTTAGTTCCAGTTCCAAGTAGGAACATATATATGATAGCCATTGACCACTAAGTGGCTGTTCTGATTTCTTTAATATCATATCAAAAATACTAGTAAAGAACTTTATGCTGGGCATGGTGGCTTGAGCCTGTAATGCCAGCTACTCGGGATGCTGAGAACTGGAGAATCTCTTGAGCCCAGGACTTCAAGGCTACAGTGAGCTATGATTGCATCATTGCACTCCAGCCTCGGTTATAAAGTAAGACACTGTCTCTTTTTAAAAAAAAAACAAACCAGAAAACTTTCTTTGTTTCCATCAGATTTAAAGCTAAAATTATTTTCTTTACCTATATATTATTGTAAACTGCTTTGTATTTAAAGTTGAAATAGCTATGTGCTCTCTTCCTTTTAAGGACTTAAAAGTGACTTTGAGTATACATTTAACCTGTTCTTAGTTCTGTATTGGCACCACACTTTATGTAGTCTTTTTGTATTTATAATTCTCCTTTTTTTTTCTTTTTCTTTTTCTTTCCCTTTTTTTTTTGTTTTTTTTTTGAGACACAGTCTCACTATGTCACCCAGGCTTCTATGCAGTGGTGCTATCTTGATCTTGGCTCATTGCAACCTCTGTCTTGTGAGCTCAAGCCATCCTCCCACCTCAGCCTCCAAAGTGACTGAGACTACAGGTGCATGCCGCCACACCAAGCTAATTTTTGCATTTTTTTATACAGACAGGGTTTTGCCATGTTGCCAAGGCTGTTCTCGAACTCCTGAACTCAAGTGATCTGCCCACCTCAGCCTCCCAAAGTGCTGGGATTACAGGCATGAGCCATAATTCTCCTTTTAGATGTATAATATAGATTCTTTTCAGTAAGCCCCACTCCCTCTTATATCATCACATATTGATGCTTGGTTTTTTGATCTGTAAGCATTTATCTCTAAAAGTTAGGGACCTCACTCTTTAGATATAAATACTATATACCACCACCACCACCATACTCCTACAGAAAAAAATTAATTCCCTTCAATATTATGATTTCTTCTTATATCCTGTCAGTGTTTACATTTCTCCAGTGGCCTTTTGTTTAGAGTTTGAATTGGAATGTAAGGTTCAAACATTGCCTCTGGTTGATAAGTCTTAAATCTCTTTTAATCTGTTAGATTACCCCTCCATCCCTCTTAATTTTTTTTTCTTTGCAAGTTTTTGTTGAAAAAAAAAAAACAGGTTAATTTGTCCTATAGAGCATTACAATCTGGATTTTCCTGATACTGTTTAGCATGTTACTCTGACCTTGTATTTTCTGTACATTGGTAGTTTGGTCCAAATATTTGATCAAGTTCTGGTTTCACTATATGAAGACCACTTCAGAAATGATATTGTGTACTTCCATCAGGAGATATGTAATATCTTCTTGTCTCTTTTTGTGATATAAACAGCCTTTAAGGATCATTGTTCAGAACATTATTTCATTAAGGTTTGTAAAATATAAAAGACCCCCTTTTATCAGTCATTTGCCTTCTTTGAGGAATAGTTCCTACAGGAAAGGCAAGATAGATGCTTGGATATTTCCCTTATTTACCAGTTTTCAAAATAATGAGTTGCTCACTATCACCCTGCAAAAGTTACCATGAGGTTTGGTTTTTGTTTATTTTGTTTGTAGTATTACTGTGAGCTAACAGGAATTTAAACATATTTGAGATATTTCAGTCAATTGAGGTTATGTATCCTTCTTGGTATACAAATTGTGCCATTTTCGGTCAGTGAAAGCCTCTTCAAGTGGATTTCCCAGGTCCTTTGGTTGTGACCTTAATATAAGTGTTTGATAGTTTTCCTGCTCTCTGATAGGCAAGATAGTCTGTGTGTTTATACTGATTCTTGGAATTTAGATTAAGTACAACAAGGTTTTTACTTCGTTTTATCATTTTCACACCTGTACCTTCTTTCTCCCACACCAAAAATCCCATTTCTCAATATTGTTAAGAATTTATTCTTTGTCCTATGTCATACTCCAAAAAAAATGTTGTCTGCTGTGGTATAACTTGAAAAGGTTTTTCTCATTTTTTCAATTAATCATTTGTCTTTTAAAGTAAACAGACAAATGATTGTCTTTTTACAATCATTTGTAAAAGAAAACAAAGTAACCCTTTGTTTTTTGTTATTTTGTTTGTTTTTGTCCTAGATGAAGGGTTTTTTTCTTTCAATTAATTTTTCTGTAAACAAATTTATTAGGTTTTTCATTATTGCTTCAGGATCTGGATTATAGTTAGGAAGGCTTTCTCTGTGCCCAAATTGTAGAAGAACCCCCATGTTTTTATTTAGAACTTATGTGATTTTTTAGTTTCCATTTAAATCTTATATTTTGGTATTTTTCCCTGTGTCAGTAATCTGGTCTTAAGGAAATGAGGGTAAGTCAGTGACTTTTTTCTTCAATTTGTCACTGTAACTTTCTTTTCTCATACTATAAGAGTAGTTTATTCTAAGAAAAATGAGAGTCACAGTGGATATTTTGGGCTTCAGCACTGTCCAGTGGGACAATCCAAACTAGTTTCATCAGATGCTACTCAAGACTCTTAACAAAAGTGATTCCACAATATTTTCATAATTGTTTTTCTTATTTTAAAATTATATTTCTAGCTTTTAAAAAATTTAAATTCCAAAAATAGCGTTATCAGAAGATAACCATGGTTGTAAGTTTGGTATGTGTCTTTACAAACCTTTTTCATATACAGCTATACTATATTGTACATGAAAAGTATACATGTATACTTTGTTTCTTATTTTAAACTATATATACTGATCTAGAGCTTGCTTCAATAATATATGTAATACTCATTAATATGACTATATATATATACTTTTTATGTCAATACATAGATTTACTCATTCTTTGTATTGAATACCAATAATTCCCTTTTATTGCACTGTCTTTGTTATCTGCATTGGTAAATAGAACTGCTCGTCCTTTTTTTGACAGGATTACTCTTGAATTATGAGGACACATTTCTTTCCATAAATAAGATGCAATGATCCTGCACTATAGTCTGTTAACTATATCTCATATTAAGGGTATTTAGGATTTTAGTTATTTGCTATTACATATGAACAGAACTGTGGTGAATAATTTCGTTTCCATAGCACATTTTCTACAAGTATTTCAGTAGAATAAAATACCAAATTGGGAATTGCTGAGTCAGGGGATTTACATGTTTTTATTTTTGTAGAAGTACCATCTAAAAATGTTAACTTGTAATTCAAATAATAGAATATGAGCTTGTTTCCCACTACCTGGCTACTCAAAACTGAGGGGAAATTTCTTTGCTGATCTGATAGCCTCAAAAAGACTGTCAATTTTTATTCTTTTGTTATTTTAACTTTTTAAATAGACTATTTTGAGAGCAATTTTAGGTTTACAACAAAATTGAATGGCAAATACAGAGTGTTCCTATATAGCACTGCCCCACAAATATTACATCTTTATAGGAATGGTACATTTGTTATAACTGGTTAACCTACATTGACACATCATTATCACCCAAAGTCCATTGTTTACATTAAGATTTGCTCTTGACATTGTACATTCTGGGGGTTTTGTTTTGTTGGGTTGTTTTGTGAAGTTTGTTGTTGTTGTTGTTGTTGTTGTTGTTGTTGTTGTTTGGAGATGGAGTCTTACTTCATCACCCAGGCTGGAGTGCAGTGGGGTGATCTCGGCTCACTGCAACCTCCACCTCCCAAGTTCAAACGATTCTCTTGGCTCATCTTCCTGAGTAGCTGGGACTACAGGTGCGTGCCACCATGCCCAGCTAATTTTTGTATTTTTAGTAGAGATGGCATTTCACCATGTTGGGAAGGCTGGTCTTGAACTCCTGACCTCCTGATCCACCCACCTTGGCCTCCCAAAGTGCTGGGATTACAGGCATGAGCCACTGCACCCAGCCTGTTGTTACTTGTTTGTTTTCTGAGACAAGGTCTTGTTCTGTCATCCATGCTAGAGTTTAGTGGGATGATCACAGTTCACTGTAACCTCAACTTCCTGAGCTCAAGTGATCCCTCCCGCCTCAGCCTCCTGAGTAGCTAGGACTACAGATGTGACCACCACACCCACCTAATTTTAACTTTTTTCTAAGCTAATTTTAAAATTTTCTGTGCTGGCCGGGCGCAGTGGCTCATGCCTGTAATCCCAGCACTTTGGGAGGCCGAGGCGGGCTGATCGTGAGGTCAGGAGATCGAGACCATCCTGGCTAGCACAGTGAAACCCCGTCTCTACTAAAAATACAAAAAAATTAGCCGGGCATGGTGGCGGGCGCCTGTAGTCCCAGCTACTCGGGAGGCTGAGGCAGGAAAATGGCATGAACCCTGGAGGCGGAGCTTGCAGTGAGCCCAGATCGCGCCACTGCACTCTAGCCAGGGCAACAGAACGAGACTCCATCTCAAAAAAAAAAAAAAGAAAAAAAAACTTCTGTACAGATGGGGTCTTACTATGTTGCCTAAGCTGGTCTTGAACTCCTGGTCTCAAGCAATTCTCCCACCTTGGCCTCACAAAGGGTTGGGATTACAGGCATGAGCCACTGCACCTGACCACTCTATGGGTTTTGACAACTATTAATATAATAACATGTGTCCACCATTACAGTATACAGAATAGTTTTATTGCCCTAAAAATCTTTTGTATTCTGCCTCTTCATCTTACCATTCCCCAGCTCCTGTTTTAATTTTTATTTCAAGTATTGAGTTAAATATCTTTATGATTTTCTTCTGTGAATTATCTACTCGTGTCATTTGCTCATTCTTTATTGCCCTTCCTAAAAATTTGCAATACTTCTCTGTACATTAAGGATGTCAACTCTTGGCCAGGCGTGGTGGCTCACACCTGTAATCCCAGCACTTTGAGAGGCCAAGGCAGGCAGATCACTTGAGGTCAGGAGTTCGAGACCAGCCTGGCCAACATGGCAAAACCCTGTCTCTACTAAAAATACAAAAATTAGCTAGGCATGGTGGCGGGTACCTGTAATCCCAGCTACTTGGGTGGCTGAGGCACGAGAATCGCTTGAACCCAGGAGGCAGAGGTTGCAGCAAGCCGAGATTGTGCCACTGCACTCCAGCCTGGGTGACAAAGCGAGACTCTGTCTCAAAGAGGAAAAAAAGAAGGATATCATCTCTTTATTATGTGTCCACCCCACGTCTCGAGACTTTAGCCATATTTTGCTACATAAAATTTAAATCTTAATGGTTTTCATGTCGTGCTTAGAAAGACCTTTTCAACTTTTATATCATAAAATGCACATTTTTTGCTTTGTAATACATTAATATTTTTACTTTTTGATTAATTTGTAATTTAGCTTGATGTATAAAATGAGGTATGAGCCTAGCTTAATTATTTTCCAAATGGCTAACTTATTGGCAATCATCTTTCCCTCAGACATTTGAATTGCCACCTTTGTCATATACTAATCCTATAAATGCTGTGCCTATTTCTGGATCACTTGTTATCCCCTTGATCTCTGTCCTTATTACACTATCACTT
The DNA here is from genome assembly GCF_000001405.40 of Homo sapiens. Taxonomy (NCBI): domain Eukaryota; kingdom Metazoa; phylum Chordata; class Mammalia; order Primates; family Hominidae; genus Homo; species Homo sapiens. The sequence continues at coordinate 45,868,835 of NC_000012.12, forward strand.
TAAATGTATTTTAACTTTGGACATGGCAGTTTGCCCCTGCTGATTCTTCGCAGTTTTTTATGATTTATTTGAGCAACTACTTTATACTAGGCACTGTGCCGGGTTTTGAAATTAGAGTGATGTATAAATCAGATTTATTTCTCGAGATTGCCAAGAAAGGCATGTTGGGATTTGGGTTGCAATTGCTTTTTGTTTTTTTTTTTGAGATGGAGTCTCGCTGTGTCACCCAGGCTGGAGTACATTGGCAAGATGTTGGCTCACTGTAACCTTCGCCTCCCAGGTTCAAGCGATTCGCCTGCCTCAGCCTGAGTAGCTGGGATTACAGGCACGTGCCACCATGCCCAGCTAATTTTTGTATTTTTAGTAGGGACAGGGTTTCACCATATTGGCCAGGCTGGTCTCGAACTCCTGAGCTCGTGATCTGCCTGCCTCGGCCTCCCAAAGTGCTGGGATTACAGGCGTGCGCCACCGTGCCCGGCCGCGATTGCTTTTAATGAACAGTTTTTTGTTTATTTTTTGATAGTGAGCACTTTTTTTTAGATTTCCCTTACTGGAAAAGGTATCAGCCCATGTTATTACTTTTTTTTTTCCAATAGAGCTTCTTGACTTTTCTTCGCATGAATTTTGTACTTTATTAAGTTTATTGCTAGGTGGTAGTCTTATATTTAGTTGTTATAAATGATCTCAACTTCCATTATATTTTTCAACTGATAGGTGTTTTCTATATTTATACTTCATATTTTGTCTTATCCAATTATAATGTCTAGGCCAGGTGTCGTGGCTCATGCTTGTAATTTCAGCACTTTGGGAGGCCGAGGCAGATGGATCACTTGAGGTCAGGAGTTTGAGAACAGCCTGGCCAATATGGTGAAACCCCGTCTCTACTAAAAATGTGAACATTAGCCAGGCGTGGTGGCGGGCGACTGTAATCCCAGCTAATAAGGAGGCTGAAGCAGGAGAATTGCTTGAACCGGGGAGGTGGAGGTTGCAGTGAGCTGAGATCATGCCATTGCATTCCAGCCTGTGTGACAGAGCAAGATTCCACCTCAAAAACAAAACAAAACAAAAACAAACAAACAAGTCTAATGTTTTCAGCACAATTGCACAATAGTGATAATATTCATCCATATCTTTTTTAAAGCTAATAAACCATTTTTTTTGTTGTTGTTGAGACAGACTCTTGCTCTGTCATCCAGGCTGTAGTGCAGTGGCGCGATCTCGGCTCACTGCAAGCTCCGCCTCCTGGGTTCACGCCATTCTCCTGCCTCAGCCTCCTGAGTAGCTGGGACTACAGGCGCCCGCCACCATGCCCTGCTAACTTTTTTTGTATTTTTAGTAGAGAACGGGGCTTCACTGTGCTAGCCAGGATGGTCTCGATCTCCTGACTTCCTGATCCACCCTCCTCGGCCTCCCAAAGTGCTGGGATTACAGGCGTGAGCCACTGTGTCCGGCCAAAACCACGTTTTTTTAGAGCAGTTTTAGGTTTATGGAAAAATCGAGCAGACAGAATAGAGTTCCCATATCTCCGTCCTCCCTGCACACAGTTTCCACTATTATTGACACCTTGCATTAGTGTGGTACACATGTGATAATTGATGAGCCAATATTGATACACTAGTATTAACTAAAGTTCATAGTTTACATTCAGATTCATCCTTTCTACAGTTCTGTGGGTTTTGACAAATGCGTAATGTCATGTCTCCAACATTACAGTAACATGCAGAGTACCTTCACTACACTAAAAATCCATTTTGCTTTACCTATTTATTCCTCCTCACCCCCTCCCTCGCCCCCAGTTCCTGGCAGCCACTCATTTTTTTTACTATTTCTATAGTTTTCATTTTTCCAGAATGTAATATAGTTGGAATTATTCAGCAGTATCCTTTTTAATCTGGTTTCTTTCACTTAGTAATATGCACATAAGTTTTCTCCATGTCTTCTTATTGTTGGATAGCTCATTTCTTTTTATTTCTGTATAATATTTTATTATACAGATGTACATAGTTTGCTTATCCATTCGTCTATTGAACAGTGTCATAATTGCTTCCAATTACTGGCAATTTTGAACTAAGGTGTTATAAACATTTATGTGTAAGTTTGTGTGGATGTAGTTTTTCAACTAACTCATTTGGGCAAACACCTAGGATTATAATTGCTGGATCATATGATAAAGACTATGCTTAACATTGTAAGACACTGTGAATCTGTCTTCCAAAGTGTCTGTACGATTTTGTATTCCTACCAGCAGTGAATGAGAATTTTGTTGCTTCATATCCTTGCCAACATTTAGTTTTGTCAGTGTTTTAGATATGAGCCATTCTGATAGGTGTGTGTTGGTATATCTGTTAATTTCTAGTTCCCTAAAAACATATGATGCTGAGCATCTTTTTGTTTGTTTATTTACCATATGTATATCTTTTTGGTGGGTGTCTATTCAGATATTTAACCCATTTTTAATTTGGTTGTTTGCTGAGAGCTTTTGGCATGAGTAGATAATGGATTATGTCAAATGCTTTTCTGCGTCTATTGCTATGATCATATGATTTTTATTTTTTGTCTTGTGAATGTGATGGATTACTTCAATTTTTGCTTCAACCAGCCTTGTGTCCCTGTAATAAATTTTACTTTGTCATGGCATATATTTCTTTTTTATGCATTGTTTGATACAATTTGCTAATATTTTTCCTGAGGATGTTCTCCTCTATATTCATGCAAGATTCTGGGATGTAGTTTTCTTGTAATGTCTTTGTCTGATTTTGGTAATAGGGTTATGCTGTCCTCATAGAATAAGTTAGAAAGTGTTCCCTCTGCTTCTATTGTCTGGTAGGGAGTAGGGATTGTAGAGAATTTATATCATTCCTTCCTTTAATTATTTGTTGTGAATTCAGCAGAGAAACCTGTGGTCCTGGTACTTTCTGTTTTGAAGGTTATTAATTATTGATTCAATTTCTTTAATAGTTACAATGTTATTCAGATTATCTGTTGCTCCTTGAGTGAGTTTTGGCAGATTGTGTCTTTCAGGGAATTGGCCGATTTCATCTAAGTTATCAAATATGTGAGCATAGAGATATTTCTGTTTCTTTATTAGCATCCTTTTAATGTCCATGGGATTGGTAGTAATGGTCCCTTTTTCATTTCTGATATTAATGATTTGTATCTTCTGTTATTTTTTCTTGGTTAGGTTAGCTACAGGTTTATGTATTTTATTGAATTTTTTTTCCCCCAAAGAACCAGCTTTTGGTTTTGTTAAATTTTTTTCTTTCTGTTGATTTCCTGTTTTCAGTTTCATTAATTTCTGCTCTTTTATTATTTTTTTTCTTCTGCCTGCTTTGGGTTTAATGTGCTCTTCTTTGTCTAGTTTCCTAAGGTAGAAGCTTGCATTATTATTTTAGATCTTTCTTCTTTTTTAGTATATAAGTTCAATGCTAAAGCCTTCCCTCTAAGTACTACTTTTACTATATCCAGAAATTATGATTATGTTGTATTTTCATTTTCCTCTAGTTCGAAATATTGCAAAAATGTGTTATTTAGACTCCAAATGTTTTTGGTATTTTCTAGCTATCTTTTTGTTATTGATTTCTCTATTAATCTGTTCTCACACTGCTTTAAGGACATACCCGAGACTGGGTAACTTATAAAGAATAAAGGTTTAATTGACTCACAGTTTTGCATGGCTGGGAAGGCCTCAGGAAAGCAACAATCATGACAGAAAGGGAAGTAAACACGTCCTTCACATGGCAGCAAGAGAGAGAAGTGCCAAGCAAAGAGGGGAAAAGTCCCTTATAAAATCGTCAGATCTCGTGAGAACTCACTCACTATCAGGAGAACAGCAGCACGGGCGTAACCGCATGGGTGGGGACACAGCCAAACCATATCAATTACTATTTAATTCCATTGTGGTTTCAGAGTATACATATGATTTCTATTCTTTTAAATTTGCTAAGGTGTGTTTTATGTCCCAGATTGTGGTCTATCTTGGTGGATGTTCCATGTGAGCTTGAGAAGAATATATTGTTGGATGAAGTATTCAGTAAATATCAATTAGATCCAGTTGATTGATGGTGCTGTTCAATTCAACTATATCCTTACTGATTTTCTGCCTATTGGATCTGTCAATTACTGATAGAGGTATGTTGAAGTCTTCAACTATAATAGTGGATTTGGTTCTTTCTCTTTGCAGTTCTATCAGTGTTTGACTCACATGTTTTGATGCTTTATGTTCAGTACATATATCTTAAGGATTGCTATATCTTCTTGGAGAAGATTGTTAGGTTTTCTTTATCATTATGTAATGCCCCTCTTGATCCACGATAATTTTCCTTGCTCTGAAGTCTGCTTTGTCTGAAATAATTATTGCCACTCCAGCTTACTTTTAATTAGTGTTAATATAGTTTATCTTTCTCCATCCCTTTACTTTTAATCTGTGTCTTTATTTTAACAATACATAGTTGGGTCTTATTATCCTCTCTGTCTTTTAATTCGTGTATTTAGATCATTCTCATTTAATGTGATTTTCACTGTAGTTGCATTGATAGCTATCATATTTGTAAATGCACTTGTTCTTTTTCTGCTGTCCCATTTTTCTGCCTTCTCTGATGTTAGCTGAGCACTTTTTATGTTGCCATTTTCTCCCCTTTCTTCGGATATCAATCATATTTCTTTAACTTTTTCATTTGTGGTTATTTTAGAGTTTGCAGTATACATTTATAGTTAATCTAAGATGACTTTCAAACAATAGTACAGGCATACCTCAGAGATATTGCATGTTTGGTTCCAGATCACCACAAGAAGGCAAATATCACAATAAAGCAAGTCACATAAATATTTTTGTTTCTTAGTGCATTTAAAAGTAATGTTTACACTATACTGTAGTTAATTAAGTGTGCAATAACATTTTGTCTAAAATAAAAAGGTACATACCTTAATTAAAAATGCTTTACTGCTAAAGATGCTAATGATCATCTGAACCTTTAGCAAGTCATCATCTTTTTGCTGGTGAAAGGTCTTGCCTCGATATTGATGGCTGCTGACTGATCAGGATAGTGGTTGCTGAAGGTTGGGGTAGTCATGTCAATTTCTTAAAATAAGGTAATGAAGTTTGCCACATCACTGGACTCTTCCTTTCACAAAAGATTTTGCTGTAGCATGAGATGCTGCTTGATACCATTTTACCCACGGTAGAACTTCTTTCAAAATTGGAATCAAGCAGCAGTGCATTCCTGTACTCCCAGCTATTTGGGAGGTTGAGGAAGGAGGATTGCTTGAGTCCAAGAGTTCTGGGCTGTAGCACACTACACTGACTGGTTGTCTGCACTAAGTTCGGCATCAGTATGGTGACTTCCTGGGAGTAGGGACCACCAGGTTGCCTAAGGAAGGGTGAACTAGCCCAAGTCAGAAATGGAGCAAGTCAAAACTCCAACGCTGATCAGTACTAGGATAGTGCCTGTAAATAGCCACTGCACTCCAACCTGGACAATAGAGCAAGACCCTGTCTCTTAAAAAAAAAAAAAAGATTGAGTCAGTCTTCTCAAACCCTGCTGCTATGTTATCAACTAAGTTTATGTAATATTCTAAAGCCTTTGCTATCATTTCAACAGTGTTCACAGCATCTTCACCAGGAGTAGATTCTACCCCAAGAAACCACTTTCTTTGTTCATCCCTAAGAAGCAACTCCTCATCCATTCAAATTTTATCATAAGATTTTAGCAATTCAGTTACATCTTTAGGCTCTGCTTCTAGTTCTCTTGCTATTTGTATCATATTTGCTGTTACTTCCTCCACTGAAGCCTTGAATCCTCAAAGTCATTCATGAGAATTGGAATCAATTTCTTCCATACTCCTGCTAATGTTCATATTTCGACCTCCTCCCATGAATCACGAATGTTCTTAGTGGCAACTAGCATTAGAGAATCCTTTGCAGAAGATTTTCAATTTACTTTGCCAGATCTATCCATGGAATTACTATCTATAGCAGCTATAGCCTTAAGGAACAAGAGTTGAAAGTTGAGGCCAGGCACAGTGGCTGATGCCTGTAATCTCAACACTTTGGAAGGCCAAAGCAGGAAGATGGCTTGAACCTAGGAGTTCAAGATGAGGCTGGCAATATAGCAAGACCTTGTTCCTACAAAAAAAATAAAAAATAGGTGGTGATGGTGGCCCTTGCCTGTGGTCCCAGTTACTCAGGAGGCTTTGGTGGAAGGATCGCTTGAGCCCAGGAGGCGGAGTTTGCAGTGAGCGGAGATGTACCACTACACTCCATCCTCAGCAACAGAGTGAGACCCTGTCTCAAAAAAATAAAAAATAGTTGAAGTGACTGCTTGTTCCATGGGCTGCAGAATGGATGTTGTGTTAGCAGCATGAAAACAACATTCATATCCTTGTAGAGCTCCATCAGAGCTCTTGGGCACCTAGATACATTGTCAGTGAGTGGTACTGTTTTGAAATAAATCTTTTCATCAGAGTGGTAAGTTTCAATAGCAGACTTAAAATACTCAGTAAACCATGCTGTAAACAAATGTGCTATCATCTAGGCTTTGATGTTGCCCAGGCAATGTAGATTTAGCATAATTCTTAAGAGTCCTCAGATTTTCAGAATGGCCAATGAGCATTGACTTCAACTTAAAGTCACCAGCTGCATTAGCTGCTAATGAGAGTCAGCCTTTCTTAGAATCTTAGAAGCTTTGAAGCCAGGTATTGACTTTTCCTCTCTAGCTATGAAAGTCCTAGACCTAGATATCATCTTCTTCCAGTAAAAGGCTGTTTGATCTTTATTGAAAATCTGTTGCTTAGTGTAGCATTCTTTATCAATGATGTTAGCTAGGTCTTCTGGATAACGTGCTGCAGCTTCTGCATCAGGACTTGCTTTACCTTGCACTTTCATGTTATGGAGATGGCTTCTTAAACCTCATGAAGCAACCTCTGCTGGCTTCAAACTTTTCTTCTGCAGCTTCTCTACCTCTCTCAACCTATGCATAGAATTTAAGAGAGTTTAGGGCCTTGCTCTGGATTAGGCTTTGGCTTAATAGAATGTCTTGACTGGTTTGATATTCTATCCAGACCTCTACAACTGTCTCCATATCAGCAAGGCTCTTTCACTTTCCTGACATTTGGGTGTTCACTTGAGAATCACTTTTATTTTCCATTGAGAACTTTTCATTTACATTCACAGCTTGGCTGTTTGGTGCAAGAGGCATAGCTTTTAGCCTTTCTCAGCTTTGCCATACCTTTCTCACTAAACTTAATCATTTCTAGCTTTTAATTTAAAGTGAGAGACATACGACTCTTCCTTTCACTTGAACACTGAGAGGCCATTGTGGGGTTATTAATTGGCCTAATTTCATTATTGTTGAATGGTGTATCAGGGAGCCCTAAGGATGGAGAGAGAGATGAAGGTAACAGCCAGTCAATGGAGTACTCAAAAGACACATAACATTTGGCTGGGTGCAGTGGCTCACGCCTGTAATCCCAGCACTTTGGGAGGCCGAGGCGGGTGGATCACGTGAGGTTGGGAGTTCAAGACCACCCTGACCAACATGGAGAAACCCTGTTTCTCCTAAAAATACAAAATTAGCCAGATGTGGTGGCACATGCCTGTAATCCCAGCTAGTAGGGAGGCTGAGGCAGGAGAATCGTTTGAGCCCGGAAGGTGGAGGTTGCGGTGAGCCAGAGATTGTGCCGTTGCACTCCAGCCTGGGCAACAAGAGCGAAACTCCATCTCAAAAAAAGAAAAAAAAGGAAAAAAAAAAAAAGACACAGAACATTTACACTCCAAAACATTTACAAAGGTGACATCAAGATCACTGATCACAGATCACTATAACAGATATAGTAATAATGAAAGTGTTTTAAATATTGTGAGAATTACCAAAATGTGATATAAAGACAGGAAGCAAGCACATGCTGTTAGAAAAATGGTGCTGATAGTCTTGCTTGTCACAGGGTTGCCACAAACCTTCAATTAAAAAAAAAAAAAAGGCCGGGCGTGGTGGCTCACGCCTGTAATCCCAGCACTTTGGGAGGCTGAGGTGGGCGGATCACAAGTTCAGGAGACCGAGACCATCCTGGCTAACACAGTGAAAACTCATCTCTACTAAAAAAATACAAAAAAATTAACCAGGCCTGGTGGTGGGCACCTGTAGTCCCAGCTCCTTGGGAGGGTGAGGCAGGAGAATAGCGTGAACCCAGGAGACAGAGCTTGCAGTGAGCCCAGATCACGCCACTGCACTCCAGCCTGGGTGACAGAGTGAGACTCCATCTCAAAAAAAAAAAAAAAAAAAGTATTTGCAAAGCATAATAAAGCAACATGCAATAAAATGGGATGTACCTGTGTATTGCTATACAGGTACTGGTCCGTGGCCTGTTAGGAACCAGGCTGCACAGCAGGAGGTGAGTGCCAGGCAAAAAAGCAAAGCTTCATCTGTATTTACAGCCGCTCCCTATTGCTTGCATTACCACCTAAGCTCTGCCCCCTGTTAGATCAGTGGCGGCATTGGATTCTCATAGGAGCGCAAGCCCTGTTGTGAACTGTGCATGCGAGGGATCTAGGTTGCATGCTCCTTATGAGAACCTAATGCCTGATGATCTGTCACTTCTCCCATCACCCCCAGATGGGACCATCTAGTTGCAGGAAAAGAAGCACAGGGCTCCCATTGATTCTACATTATGGTGAGTTGTATAATTATTTCATTATATGGTACAATGAGTAATAATGGAAATAAAGTGTACAATAAATGTAATGCGCTTGAATCATCCCAAAACCATCCCCCCAACCCCTGGTCCATGGAAAAATTGTCTTCCATGAAAGTGGTCCCTGGTACCAAAAAAGGTTGGTGACCGTTGCCTTATACTATGTCCTTTACATACTGTCACTCATTTCACTTATCTGTAAGCTATAATCACCAGATATACTATTGTTATTTTTTATTATCTGTTAGATCAATCAAAAGTAAGAAAAAGAAATATTTTGCTTCTATTGATTTCTTCTCTAACACTCTTCCTTACTCTATGTAAATTCAAGTTTTGACCTCTATATTTTCCTTCTCTGAAGATCTCCTTTTAACATTTCTTGTGAAGCAAGTCTCCTGGTGCATATGGCCTCAGTTTTTGTTTGTCTGAGAAAGTCTATTTCTCCTTGACTTTTGAAGAGTGATTTTACTGGATACAAAATTCTAGGTTAGTGGATGTTTATCTTTCAACAGTTTAAATATCTCATTCCATTCTTCTTGCTTGCATTATTCCTAAAGAGACATCAGTGTATTCTTCTCCTTGTCCTTCCATCAGTAAGTTGGTTTTTTCCCTCTTAATTCTGTGAAGGTTTTTTTCTTTGTCTTTGGTTTTTGGAAGTTTGAATATGATGTGGCTAGGTGTTGATTTTTTAATATTTATCTTGTTTAGTGTTGTCTGTGTTTCCTGGATCTGTGATTTCTTGTGTGACATTAGTTTTGGAAAATTCTCACTTCGTTCTTACTTCAAATATTTTTTGTGTTCTTTCTCTTTTTCTTCTCTTTATGGTATTCCCACTGCATATATTTGCAGCTTTTGTTATCACCCCACAGTCCTTGAATATTCTGTTTGTTTCCTCTATTCTTTGTTCCCTTTGCTTTTCAGTTTGGGAAGTTCCTGTTGACATATCTTACTTACATCTTCAAGTCCACTGATTCTTTCCTTATCTGTATCCAGTCTGTTGATGAGTCTATGAAAGACATTGTTTATTTCTGTTACAGTTTTTTTCATATTTCTAGCATTTTCTTTTTATTCTTAGCATCTCATCTCTGCTTACATTATTCATTTGTTCTTGATGTTCACTTTTTCCATTAGTCTTAGCATATTTATTATAATTATTTTAAATTCTCAGTCTGAAAATGTCAAAATTTGTGTGATATCTGAGTCTGGTTCTAATGTTAGCTTTGCCTCTTCTGACCGTGTGTGTGGTGGTGGGCGGGGGTTGTTTGTTTTTATACTTTTGGCGTGCCTTGTCAGTTTTTGTTAAGTCAGACAGGATGTTTCAGTTAAGCATCTGAGGTAAATAGCCTTTGGCGTGAGGTTTTATGTTTATCTGGTTAGAATTTAGGCTATGTTTAATGTTTGCTGTAGCTGTAGGTGTCAGAAGCTTCAGTATTCCCTGATGTCCTTTTTTTTCTTCCTTTGTTGTTGTTGGATTTTTTTTAGAAACTCCTTTTTAAATATAGCCTGTATCTTGTAGCTCTCTCAGTTCTAATACACTGTTATACTATACTGGAAACCTGTTGATACAGTGGTAAGGTAATGGGGAGGTGAAATATTCTATAATCTTATGATTAAATCTCACTTTAAAAAAGTCGGCCTTCATCTAAGGGCTGCGACTTTGGTAAGTTTTTCAGCCTTTATTTTTTTTCTCCTGTGTAAGACGAAAAGTCTAGAGAGGGCCCGTGTTTTCTAATTGCTTTTCCTGTAAGTCAGATAAGGCTCTGGTAAAGTCGTTTTTCATGAGACAGACCTTTGTAAGGTGAAGAGAACAGTCTGGGCATATTAGAAATGTTTACTCACCCCCTTCCATTCCTGGAAGCAGGGAGAAATTTTTCTTCAGTCTTCACTGTGAGATCCTGGACTCTGAAGGTAATTCACACAAAAGTATGGGTTCTCCACAGAAACTGACCTCCCGCCCCAAGGGTTTTTAATTGTGAAGATTAGCAGTTTGTCAGTTGCTGTTTAAGGGTTCCTGCAAGTTACGGGCTCCAGCTATAAGGGCTGATTCTCTGTATTCAAGGGTCTCTCCAGCTTTCAGAGTGGTAGTTTGCCCTGTGACCTCAGTTCTCTGACAGATCCAGGAGGAGTTGTAAATTTTCAGTTTGTTCATCTTATTTCTTATTGTGAGGATGGGACTGATGACTTGCAGCTTTTTACATGTTTGAAAGGAAACTGAAAGTCCTCATCATTATCTTTTATCCTTGTTTATCATCATTAAGCACAATGTTGACTATTAGTTTATCCTTGAAATGTATAAATAATGTGTGATTGTATAAAACATTTTTGAGACTCCCTCAAAAGTGTCCTTTATTTAAAAATATCTATGAATTGCTGTTTAAATTCTGTGTAATTGGAGAAAAGGACTTGATGCCTTTGAATAGTGGAGTTTATATTAAGTGTTTTTAGGACTTTATTTTTCTAGGCTACAGTGTTCTTTGAATAAGTGGTGTCAGGCAAAGTTAAGAAAGGCCCTCTACCTTGCCTTTAAACATAGGAGTTTTGCTTTTGTTTTATATATAGGGGTTTTAAGTAATATTTTGTTTGAAGATTCTGTTGCTAAAAAGACATTTGAAAAACACTTTTCTGGAATCTATTGCTCCTCATATATTTCTCGTTAAAAACTGCTACAGAAAGATGAAAATTATTTTCCCTTAAGAGGAATAAAATCTACATTATATTTGTATTTAGAATTGCATTATTGAAAGTCAAACCAGGAATATAGAGGATCTCAAATATATTCTAAACAAATATTTCCTGTGTGAAAACTTGTCTGTCTATGAAGGAGGGACTTTTACTTGGTACTGATAAAACTGATAATTCCCCAACTGCCCAGGAAATCTACCCAAGTGATGTTGAGGTTCAAATCACCAGGTTCCTACTGAACCTTATACAGTTACAATTCCTCCTAAAGTTCCTATTGTAAGGTATAATTACTCCTACTGTACAAGCCAGAATAATTTTTTTGTTTGTTTGTTTATTTGTTGGGTGACCCAGGCAATTTTATTACTTTATCCCTGAACCTCAGTTGCCTCATGGATAAGATGGGGATAATAATAGCACTCATTTTATAATTATGAAGATTAAACACATTAATGCAAGGAAAACACTTGAGTCTGTGTCTAGCACATGCTCAACACTTAACAGATGTTATTTATACATGCTGATGTCTCAAACAGGCATGGAATGTTAAATACATAAAACAGGAAGTTTTAGCCATTGACATATTCTCTGCCCCTACCCCAGTTTGTCCAAGCCTATCGAGATAGTGTCCTTAATCTTTGCAGGTGTTGGATTCAAGACAACTGTCAGATGGCGTTCATCTGCATAAGTGAATATAAATGCAGTTTTGGCTGTTTGGGGGGACACAACACTAGAGTTTAATCTTCGAACTTGACTTGGAAGCATTCCTGCCAATATAAAAGATTTTGTTTGAGGCATTGGAGAAGCCAAAGCCTGCTCCTAGGTTGAACTTCCAGCTCATGGCCTAGTTGTAGTCCTGCTGCAGGTTCTGCTGCAGGCTATTTGCTGCCTTCTTGCTGAGGGTCATGTTGGGCCTTGCAGTCATGCTAGGGGGGCAGCTGAATGAAGGGGTCAGATTTTTGAATCCACCCATGTTTGAGAAATTTCCATTTCTGTTCCTTGTTCTTAAAACCAGTATCCTACTGGCCAAACTGGGTTACTGTCCACTTCCTGGTTTCAGAAGCTTCTCTTTTGCCCAGCTAAAGATCAGTCTGTTGCAAGGCCTTCCACCTCACCTGGTCTGTGTGCCCCTTGTCCATGTTGCCTTTCTTTTCCAACATAACCTCTGTGTCTGTCTGTTTTCTCTTTCCACGAGTTTCCTGCTACCCCACTCTCTTTCCTCTTCTTTTTTTCCTTTTCAGAGCCACGTCCTCAGTGAGTGGCTGCTCTGTTTTTCTTGGACTTCAGTTTCTTCTTTGCTGTGACCTTAGGGCCATCGCATATTGCGATGTATTTTGGAGCCTCAATTTTGACTGGCTTTTTTTTACTTCGTATCCTAAGGCTACATACACTTCATGGACCTGGAGGGCTTGGGGTGTGGCCTAGGAGGTTGTCTCCCTTCCGGTGGATTTTTTTGTCTTCTTCACTTAACCACTGTGTTCCCTGGGCTTCCCCTGCTTCCGTTCTGCCCCAAGGCTGCCTGCTCCTTGCCCTCCTTCCTCACTGAGCAAATGTAGGCAACATTCCTTTCCTTGCAGAATCAAGGGTCCTGGACTGAGAAGGCTCTGGGTTCCTGTGCCCCTTTTTTTCCCTCTTGTGTTTTTTGAACTTCTCGCCAACTCTGGTCTCCTCCTCACTGTGTCTGGGATCTGGGGAGGTTTTCACCCCAGAGCCGTGGAACATGCCAGAGGTCACTTCTTTTTCTTCTTCCTGCTGAGGAACTCCAAGTGGCAAAGCGCCTGCTTCCTGGGGCTGGGTGACTTCCCTGTCTGTCTGTCACACAACATGGCCTCAGGTTCTAGGTGCTCCTTAGGGTGCTAAGGCTTGTCTTTGTTTTCACTAGAGGCATCTCTGGTGTCCGCGCTTGTACCACACTCTTAGAGCGGGATGTGGCTCTTATAGGAGAAACATCAACAAAATGATTGTCATTGTTTAAAATTGAGATTAAGTCTCCAGTTCTTTGATGACCTTCTTTCTTTTTTACTTTGGGACCCCAAGGCCCAGGTCTCCTTTGTGGGCCTTGGTGATTATTCCCATAAGTCAAACTTCTCTGCCTCCAGGTGAGAGCCTACTTCACCATGACCCAGAAGTCCCGGAATAAGACTTTTGTACCGAACTGGCTAAAGTACGAATAATGCTTTGTCTGATAGAAAATTACTGAAAACAACAACAGACACCAACTTCACTATATTTTGCAAGTGATTAAAAACTTACAGGTAGCTAGAATTTGTTTTCTAGAACAAAGGTAGATTGATTTACATGATTACTTCTACTTCTTCCAAAAGTATTGAAGTATCTAAAGACGAGCTGAATGTTACACATAAAACTGCCATCTTGATAATGTGAAAATACTTGAAAGAGTAAAATATCCAAGTGGAATTTTTAAATTCATGATAACATGCCTTAGCAAATACTGTTTAATTTTAGGTAAACTGCCAATTTAGGTTGAAATTAATCAGTAGTTAGATTGATCAATAGCTTGACTTAAATGTCAGTGGGAGAAACAAATTGAAATTAGTTTTGTAGCATCATTTGTCTCAATTTTGTGGTCATAAAACCAGAAGAGATCTTCAGAGGGTTATATGTTGTTTTCTGAAGTTTTGTGGTATTAGCACAATGCCTTGCACATAAAATGCTTTTAACTAACATATTTTTGACTAAGTTAAATGAATGAAGTTTACCTAGCTTGATTCTAAAGTCATCAGTTCTTTGCTGACTTAGCCTGTTGGCATCTTGCATTTTCAATTGTCAGGATAACAAGTTGTCGTCATCTTGCTGTTTCTAGGTTGATAAAATATTTTGTGTGAGAGCGCTAAAATACTAGATATTTTGCTAATATTACTATCCTTATAATTTGAACTAATGAGCCTTCATAAATGTGAGATTAATTTCATTTAATAATTTATTTTTGGTAACATCAGTTTGAGAAATATGTGTTCCTTAGGCCTTAACTACTGATTTGCCATAAATAATTTTTTTAACTAGGAAATACCCTGATTTCTACCACACATAGTAGTAGAATTTTTACCTTGCTCTATTATTTTAAACATTGAATACCAAAGAATTTGATTACTTAAAGATGTTATCAAATGCCAAAAGGTTACATAACAATGAGAAGAATTTGCCAAATCATGTTGAAGACATTTTTGTTATCAAATATTTACAATAGTTGGGAAAAGAATTTCCTAGGGTGAGAATCTAGTATGTACTTCAGCAAAAACAAAAACAAAGAAACAAACCTTATTTATTCCTTGGAAACTTGTGCGTAAAATAAGGAGAATTATATACCAATGCTAACCTCTTATCTAGTATGCTTTCAGAATTTATTTGCCAGTATGATATCACAGATACTGTATATAAAAATATACCCCCATTTTTACCTAGTAATACATCTATGTGTAGTATTTGAGTAAACAATTATGTAGTATCACATAGAAGGAGAAAATCAGGTCTTTTATGTTAGACATACCAGGTTTCAAATCCCAGTTCTGTTACTTAGCTGTATAACTCTGGAAAAGTTACTTTTTGAAAGCCCACTTCCTCAGCAGTAAAGGGATAATTTTATGTTCAAAGAGCAGTCATGGGAATCAAATAAGATGATATATGTGAATATGCCAGATACATAGTAAGTTCTGAGCAAACAGAAGTTCAAGTGGAGACGTACTTTGCGCTATGTGCAGCTTTGTCAAGAACAGTGTGAACTGATGTGCTAGCATATCTTTCAAAGAGAAGAATGAATGAATAAGCTAGAATTTAAAAGTTTAAAATTATTTGGTATGCTTTTTTTATTTCATTAAAACCACACAGATATACACATCATCACTTATTTTTATTTTATCTCCAAGTTTATGTTTAGCTTATTAAGAATAACATTGTTGACCAGACACGGTGGCTCATGCCTGTAATCCCAGCACTTTGGGATACTGAGGTGTGCAGATTGCTTGAGGTCACGAGTTCAAGACCAGCTGGCCAACATAGTGAAACCCCATCTCTACTAAAAATACAAAAATTAGCTGGGCATGGTGGCAGGTGCCTGTAATCTCAGCTACTTGGGAGGCTGAGGCAGGAGAATCACTTAAACCTGGGAGGTGGAGGTTGCAGTGAGCAGAGATCATGCCAGTATACTCCAGCCTGCTCAACAGAGTGAGATTCTGTCTCAAACAAACAAACAAACAAACAAAACATTGTTATAATACCTGAATTGTACAAATCAGCTTTCATAGCACTTTTCAAATGTGAACTACTGTTTCAGCCCAATATTCATATTTGTTTGGCAGGTACACATTTTAAAAACATTTTAAAACAAAGTCCCTGATAATTCACTTTTATATTTTACTATGTAAAATAAGTGACTGCTTCACAGACCGGCGGGTTAATAGCACTTGATGTGGGAAGGTCAAAGAGCAAATACAGAAATCTTTTCCTGTAATAATTATTAGGAGGAAAGGAAAGGAGTCAGAACTGAGGGCAGTTGGTTTGGATCATCCCCCATATGAACCCCTTCCTATATTTGGGATATTTCCTACAATTTCAGTCTTACTAGGAGGCAGGGCCCATCTTTGTACAAAAGCCCCCCAAGAAGGCCAAATACTTGCTTCCTCCCCTATTGCCTTTGGCAGCTACACTAGTCAATCAGTTGTTCCCACCTATGACTTTTAATCTGGATTGACGGTAGCACAGAAGCTGAGACTGGAGAATTCATTCTTGTAGGAACAGCAATATTTTGTTTCCAAGAATACCAGTACTGATTTTCAGTTTTCCAGTTTGTATTTATAATGTTTCATCATGTATTAAGGAAATAAATTAATTTCTCTTTAATAGTGTAGTTAGTACTTTTTTTCTATTTTGAACTTTTGCAACTAGATAAAATAAAGTTGGGTTAGCCTCTCACCAAGGTTGTTGGTATATTTTTTCCCCAGAATTTTAGCAGCTTGTTACTAAGTCTTATTTGAATATATAATAATGCTTGCCCTTGATATTTCTTTTGTCATAGAATATATATATCTAAAACAGATGCCAAGGGTTGAGGTACAAGTTCATGGTTCTGCAACCAATAATAGAGCCTTTTTTAAAACTAAAATATGTTTGCAGTATGAATTTTTTGGATGTATAGTCTCACATATACATTTATGTGCATTTATTAACATTTATGTGCCATCTTTTTAACTAGAATATTCCTGCAAAAAAAAAAAATCCCTTGCATTTTAAGTCAGGTGAGTTTGTTTGTTTGTTTGTTTCAGTAGGAAGGCTATAAAGAAGGATATGGAATACTCTTTGGCCACCAAAGAAAAATAGCCTGCCAAGACCTTGAGTAAATAAGAAAACTCCAAATGAAACTATCTGTATTGTCCATTCTTATGCTGCTATAAAGAACTGCCAGAGACTGGGTAATTTGCAAAGGAAAGAGGTTTAATTGACTCACACTTCTGCAGGGCTGGGCAGGCCTCAGGAAACTTGCAATCATGGCAGAAGGAGAAGCAAACATGTCCTTCTTCACATGGCAGCAGGAGAGAGAAGTGCTGAGCAAACAGGGATAAGCCCTTTATAAAACCATCAGATCTCATGAGAACTCACTCAGTATCACAAGAACAGCATAGGGGTAACCCCATGATTCAGTTACCTCCTACTGGGTCCCTCCTATGACAAGTAAGGATTATGGGAACTACAATTCAAGGTGAGATTTGGGTGGGTACACAGCCAAACCGTATCATTCTGCCCTGGCCCCTCCCAAATCTCATGTCCTCACATTTCAAAACACAATCATGCCTTTCCAGGAGTCCCCCAGAGTCTGAGCTCATTCCATCATTAACCAAAAAGTCCAAGTCCAAAGTCTCATTTGAGACAAGGAAAGTCCCTTCCACCTATCAGCCTGTAAAATCAAAAGCAAGTTAGTTACTTCCTAGATACAGTGGGATAGAGGCATTGAGTATATATACCCATTCCAAATGGGAGAAATTGGCCAAAACAAAGAGGCTACAGGCACCATCCAAATCCATAATCCAATAGGGTAGTCATTAAACCTTAAAGTTCCAAAATGATCTCCTTTGACTCCATGTTTCACACCCTGGTCACGCTGATGCACGAGGTGGGCTCCTACAGCCTTGCGCAGCTCCACCCCTGTGGCTTTGCAGGATACAGTGCCCCCCCCGGTCAGCTGCCATCATGGGTTGGCATTGAGTGTCTGCGGTTTCTCCAGGAGCACAGTGCAAGCTGTTCATTTATCTACCATTCTGGGGTCTGGAGGATGATGGCCCTCTTCTCACAGCTCCACTAGGTAGTGTCCCAGTGGGGACTCTGTGTGGGGCTCTGACCTGCCCTAGCAGATGTTCTCCATGAGGGTTCTGCCCCTGCAGCAAACTTCTGCTTGGACATCCAGATGTTTCCATACATCCTCTGAAATCTAGGTGGAGGTTCCCAAACATCCTCTGAAATCTAGGTGGAGGTTCCCAAACCTCAATTTTTGATTTTTATGTACCCACAGGCTCAACACCACGTGAAAGCTGCCAAGGCTTGGGATTTGCACTCTCTGAAGCTACAGCCCAAGCTGTACCTTGGCCCTTTTTAGCCATGGCTGGAACAGCTGGGATGCAGGGCATCAAGTCCCTAGGCTGCAGGCAGCATGGGGGCCTGGGGCTGGCCCAGGAAATAATTTTGTCCTGCTAGGGCTCTGGGGAGAGGCTGCCATGAAGGTCTCTGACATGCCCTGGAGACATTTTCCCCATTGTCTTGGTGATTAACATTCAGCTCCTTGTTACTTATACAAATTCCTGCAGCAGACCTGAATTTCTCCCCAGAAAATGGGTTTTCATTTCAGGAAATTTGTACCTAGTAGCCTATGTGAATATTTGCTCAGTTGAACCAAACAGCTCTTCACTGGAATAAAAGAAAATACAATTTGGCTGAAGGGGAATTAAATGAAGAATAGAAGCTAATCCTGAGCTTTCACTGCAATGATTTAAATAATAAGCAGGAAACCAACTATTATAAATTATAGTGATGATGTAACTGAAAAATATATATATATTTTAAATCGCCAGTGACTGAGAGAAAAGTGTCAAAAACTTGTTACAGTAATTATATTAAATACTACATTTTGCATTGTTTTGCCAGATATTGATAAATTCTGGTTCCTTTCTTTTGAAAAAGTAGCAGGATCAAAGAAAAAGTGTTGTTTCTATCGCTTCTAGTTAGAATAACATTTGTTTTTATATACTTAAGTGTGGGATTCAGAAGAGAGGAAAAGATAAAAGATGCAAAAGAGGGGATAATTTAGGAAGAAACACAATAGAATCCAATGTTGTAGGAAAAAACCGGGTTCTTTTCACACAACCAGGAAAGATTAGGCTCATAGACACATGGAAGTGTGAGGAGTGGAATTTACTGGATGAGAACGGAAAAGGAAAAACAACTCAGCAAAGTGAGATGGAGTCCTGCTAACAGGTTTTCCACCTCACAGATTGAATCCCAGCTTACCACACAGGAAGAGGAGTGGCCAGGCATCTCCCTTCTGCAAGTGGCACGAACTTCCCGAGGCTCCACCCCGTCCTTCCAGTGCAGAGGCTGGTCAGGGATTCTCTGAGGAGCCCTTTTAACTTGGTTGTCTCACCAATATATAAGTGAAGGAGTTAACCAGGGAAATAGTAGCTACATTTGGCTGAGATCCTAGAGAAAGAAAGGATGAATAATGACTGAAGATCTAATGTACAGAAGAAAGTTAAAGAAGCTAGGCGGGCGGATCACGAGGTCAGGAGATTGAGACCATCCTGGCTAACACGGTGAAACCCTGTCTCTACTAAAAATATAAAAAATCAGCTGGGGGTGCTGGCGGGCGCCTGTAGTCCCAGCTACCCAGGAGGCTGTAGCAGGAGAATGGTGTGAACCTGGGAGGCGGAGCTTGCAGTGAGCCGAGATCGCGCCACTGCACTCCAGCCTGGGTGACAGAGCGAGACTCCGTCTCAAAAAAAAAAAAAAAGCTCTAATGAAATGAACTTATTTTTTCAGTAATAAGCATTTTTTTCAGAGACAAATGTAAGATACTGTCTCTAAATTTACAAATACACACAAGTACAGAGGAAGACAAGCTCTAAAATAAGATTGAAACTCACTATTTAACCAAAGTTGAATTGCAGATAGTTTCTATGGAGAATATTTTCAGGAGCAGAAATGAATAAAAGTAGTTGTGAGCGATAGTGAGTGTTGCTTGCTAATGGAGGCCACTAACTTGAAGGTGGACCAAACGTTACTTAGCAAAGCTTGGCAATTTTGGAATAGTTGTGGAGAAGATCTCAGAGTAGAGGATTAACAAGATGGGCAGGTGAAGAGACAAGACGTTACCAGTACCTCCACTACCCCTTACCACCACTACTGCTACTATTACTGATCATGATGACAATAGCCCTTATTTATTTTTGGCCTACTATTTTCCAAATAGATTTATACATATCATCAAATTTAAGCCTCACACCCATCTTTAAAACTAGATTCTCAGTGAGTAAAATGCATTTCAGAGGAATCTTTTTTGCCCAGAGCTGTTGCCTGTGGTTGTACACATCAAAGGGGGATCCAGTTACATTGTATGTGCCATATGTGGTATATTTATTACAACAATTTTTCAGCACAAGGCAATAAAGTATCTTAAGGAAGAGTATTATTTTAATTTGTACAAAGGGGCTGGGCTTGGTGGCCCACACCTGTAATCCCAGCACTTTGGGAGGCCAAGGCAGGCGAATCACTTGAGGTCAGGAGCTTGAAACCAGCCTGGCCGACATGCCGAAACCCTGTCTCTACTAAAAAAATACAAAAATTAGGCATTGTGGTGCACGTAATCCCAGCTACTCGGGAGGCTGAGGCAAAAGAAACACTTGAACTCAGGAGATACAGGTTGCAGTGAGCCAAGATTGTGCCCCTGCACTCCAGCCTGGGCAACAGAGTGAGACTCTGTCTCAAATAATAATAATAATTTGTACAAAGGTATCATATTACTCTGGAGTGGCAGCAGTATATAAAATTATATCAGTAACAGTCCCAGTTTTGTTTAAAAACACATACATACTCAGAGAAGGCTTAAAGAAAGTATACTAAAATGTTAGCATTTTAGTATACTTGGCTATATATCACAGGTAATTTTTATTTTTATTATTTTGTATACTCTTGAATTTTCCCAGTTCCCTTAAATGAACATATTGTTTATGATTTGCGGGTTGCTGATAGGGAGTGGAGGTGATTGCTGGAGTAGTTTTAAGAACAGTTTTCTAGACATGACAGTAAATGGTAGCATTCTGCTTCATCACTTACACTTCTCCCAACCCATCCAATAAATATCCGTAATGTTCTGAAAACTCAGTATTTATTTGCTTTACATTTCTTTAGAGTTTAACTCTCCAATATTACACGTAAACTTTTAAAACTCAGGTATCGGCCAGGCACGGTGGCTGGCTCACGCCTGTAATCCCAACACTTTGGAAGGCCGAGGCGGGTGGATCACAAGGTCAGGAGTTCGAGACCAGTCTGGCCAACATGGCGAAACCCCGTCTTGCCTAAAAATACAAAAATTAGCTGGGCGTGGTGGCAGGTGCCTGTAGTCCCAGCTACTTGGGAGGCTGAGGCAGGAGAATCGCTTGAACCCGGGAGGCAGAAGTTGCATTGAGTCGAGATCGCACCATTGCTCTCCAGCCTGGGTGACAGAGCAAGACTCTGTCTCATAAATAAATAAAATTCAGGTAGTTCATTTAATGGATTTGGAACCCTTAACTACTTTTCACCTTCATGTGATTATTGCAACCAGCTTCATTCATAGTTAGATTAGAACTTTACCTTGAACCACCACAACAATCAATGAATAGCTTTTATGACTAGAGTAGTTAGATAGAGAGAAAATAGACTTGGAATGAAGAAAAGAGTAGTAGATTGGAGAGAAAAATAGACTCTGAGGACAGATAGACTAATGAACACTTAAAAATATCTGTTTTAAAATCATACATAGTTGTGTATATTTAGTAATTAAAATTGATTTAAGGAAGTGCTATCCTTTTTCCTATGGCTGCTACATTCACCATTTTTATTGTTGCAAATAAACTTGATTAATTGTATGTATTGAAAAATAGTTTAGAAATAGACATTGTGAATAGTGAGTAGTAGTACATTTGGGTTTTGGTTTCTGTGTATATGTGTGCACGTGTGTGCAGACTTTATATTGCAATTAATGATTTAATAGTATTTAGGTAATGTCTTAACAAGAAATGCCTCCTTGTGGCAATAACTAGTATGTATAACAGAACTCAAATCATATTTCATATTAATGAAATAGCATTGTGAGTTCTGAGAATTAAACGAAATTCTAAAACAAAATGTATTTACTGATTTTAGCCTCACAATATACTTTTGTAGGTATTTATATAGATGCATGTGATGGAAATTAAATATATAACTTACTCTTTCTGACATTGTGTTATATAATTCAGTATTTAATTACTTTTTTGATTAAATTTTATTTTAAAATATTAGTCATTCCTGAAGGAATATTAATTTGGGATACTAGATATTTGTTACACGTTAAAAACTGGTTCAAATATAGATATGTTAATATGACAGCCATAAAAAGTCAAATCCTAAGAGATCTTTGCTGTAGATCTTAAAGATATTGATTATGGCCAGGTGCTGTGGCTCATACCTGTAATCCCAGCACTTTGGGAGGCCAAGGCGGGCAGATCATGAGGTCAGGAATTCGAGACCAGCCTGGCCAACATGGTGAAACCCCGTCTCTACTAAAAATACAAAAATTAGCCGCGCATGGTGGCATGTGCTTGTAGTCCCAGGTACTCGGGAGGCTGAAGCAGAAGAAGCACTTGAACCCAGGAGGTGGAGGTTGCAGTGAGCCGAGATCGCACCACTGCACTCCAGCCTGGCGACAGAGCGAGACTCCGTCTCAAAAAAAAAAAAAAAAATTGATTGCACAAATATTTGAGTTACTCATTAGTAATTGAAGCCTTTTAATACATTCTTTGCTGTCTAGATTCCACTGTTCTCTCTCATTTCCCTACTGTCTAATAAAGGAGAATAAAATCTGACTTTCTTCAGTTTTGTGTGCTTTGCCACATGCCCACTCAGACATCATAGGGTATGTGCTGGAGGAGTGAGAGATGGGACTTAAAAACATGGACAGACATATAAATGTGAACTTAAAAGGCAGACTTACTAAAACTTATAGAATTTGAACTGTTGGATTGGATATGCTTGAGTTATTATATGTAATATGAAATCTAGTAAATGCTTGAGAAATTTATGAAAGTACAGTAGAGTATGGTATTTGTTTATAAGATAATGTTCTATGGTGTTTTTAATGATATTTCATTCACTTTTAAGAGATTTTTAGTCAGCCTTCATTGAAGGTAGGGAATTATGAATAAGGGATGTTAAAACAATTTACCAAAAGTGTTCAGTACAACTGATGATTCCACTTGGAAATATAAGCAGAGAAATTTTTGAAATAGTTTCAAAATATACTTGAATACATCCAAGTGTCTACTACTTTTATTTTTTATAGGTGGTTTCAGACACCCTCACAGGTTTTCTACCATGCAGCAACTGAACATGGAGGAAAAGATGTATATCCAGGGCAGTGTCTTTGGGAAGGTTGTGAGCCTTTTCAGCGACAGCGGTTTTCTTTTATTACCCACTTGCAGGTACACTTTTTAAATACTATTTGATCAGTAACTCATTTGACTGCATTAAAGATTTTGACGTGCCATTCTCTTGCTTCCTCTTCCTCAAAAAGGATAAGCACTGTTCAAAGGATGCCCTACTTGCAGGATTAAAACAAGATGAACCAGGACAAGCAGGAAGTCAGAAGTCTTCTACCAAGTAAGGAAAATGAGTTTACTTCCTGTTGTACATACAAAAAGAAACTAGGCAAAACACAAGAAAATGAAACGCAACTTAGCATATTAGGAGACCAGAAACCTGGGTTCTAGTCCAGCTCTGCCATGAACCAGCAATGTGACCCTGTTCAAATTGCTTAGATTCTCTTGGCATCACTTTTCCTTTTGGCTGGACAATGTGGTCTGTAAGTTACCTTTCAGCTCTAACACTGATTCTGTTTTGTAGACTAGTCAGTCATTGGAAGTAATGACAGATGATATATGAGAAATGCTTTGTAAACTAAAAGTACTGTGTATGGTTCTTTTTTCTGTAAAAGTAATCATCTATTTGATAATGGCAAAGAGATTTCATATCTTGTCATTATCATATATATATATATACACACACATATAAACATACACTAGTTTACAGTTTAAAGATTGTTTTCAGGTTATCTTATTTAATATTCAGAATTAGCTTAAAATAATTTAATATTCAGAATTAGTAAAAATATATCAGAAATACCCCTGCTTTTCAGATGTGAAAAGAAATATTGAAAGTCATGCAGCCAGTTACAGTGTCAGAAATAGGGTTTCCTCATATACGAGTCAGCATCTCCATTGCTATCTCACCAGAGCACACAGATAATGATGCACTATATCTGCTTGGTGAAAGAAATCTACAGTAGTTTGAATCTTATTTTACATAAAATCATCTCTGCAGTTCTTCCATTCTGTATCTTTCATAAATAACAGAACTATAGTGAAAGGATTGATTGAAATTATAAACTAATAATGAAATTTAAGATATGTAAGTAATAGTTGGAAATGTGGTATTTAGCATAATTCCATGTTATCATACCATGTTTTCTTGGATGACCAGTGTCAGTACATTCTTAGGTAATATTACTTTACTCTTAGGTACCATTTAGAAATAATTTGTAGCAAAAATTGTAGACTTTTCTTCTTTGTTAAAATGTTCACATTATATTCAAAGATGAGAAGGCTATAACTTCGATGCTACGTTGAATTTGTCTTGATTGCATACTTACCCAATACAGTAACTTTAAAGATGGAACATCTGTTTGCTTTAAAATTGATAGATTGGAAAATAAAAGACTTGAAACTTTACCTTGATACTAAGCGCCCCTTTGCCTAGGCTGTCACAGAGCATAAACGTTAATGCTAGACCATTGGACCTTTAGTCACCCTGTAAACACGATTTTAAAATAACCAGCTTAAAGGGGTTGGCAGGGTGGTCATAGTTGTCAGTCTGTCTGCAGTATCACGTTAATTCTCTCTCTCTCTCTCTCTCTGATCAATTTAGGCAGCCAACTGTAGGGGGCACAAGCTCAACTCCTAGAGCACAAAAGGCCATTGTGAATCATCCCAGTGCTGCACTTATGGCTCTGAGGAGAGGATCAAGAAACCTTGTCTTTCGAGATTTTACAGTAAGCATGCCTTGAAACCCTTATCTGTAAAAGTCTGAGTCCTGTATGATTTAGATCTTTATTCTTTTTTTTCCTTTCTTTTTAAGGATGAAAAAGAGGGACCAATAACTAAACACATCCGACTAACAGCTGCCTTAATATTAAAAAATATTGGTAAATATTCAGAATGTGGTCGCAGGTGAGTAATATGTTTTCTGTAGCCAAAGTGAATTTAGTTTATTTTATTTTTACATATAAGTTAATAAAATTAGATAACTGTATTTTCTTCATTGTTTTTCTCATCAATTTTGCAAATACATCCAAAAGTTTATGCCTAGGTCAGGCCATGATGAGCTCTTAAAAGTCAAAAATAAATAGAAGTTAAAACAACCAAAAGGTGGTCTCTTAAGTTGTTTTATTAAGTTAATTTGTCTTACTGACCATATAATTTAGAACAAAAAGCAGCTGTACTAAAGAGGAAACTTAGGAGTTTATTGGGGAAAACAAAGGAATTTGATCATTTGAATCACGTGGAGTCCAAATGAAATTCAGTTTGACACCTGGCATTTTCATGTACCCATCAATGGCATAAATAATGTTAAGGTATGTGTATAATACTCTGAAGTTTTAAAACTTAACTTTCCAATGGATTTAAGCAAAAGAAAACCCAGGATTTTGTAGATCTACAGAAACTAGGAGGGATAACTCATTAATTCGTGAGAGAGCAAATATAGAATATTCTGTCAATACCTTGTCTTCCTTAGTTACTTTTCTAGAATTCCTCCTACATCTTCAATTGACCAGTCTTGGGCCGCCTCTCTGCGAAATTGTCCTCAGATGCATCTTGTGTTCCTGATAGTCACTTTCTATCTCAGGCCCTCCCTTTCACATAATATTAGTTCCATCTCCTTAATGTATTTTGAATCCATGTTAGTTCTTCCCTACACCACTATTTTACCTTGTCTTACGTCTTTTATGATATTTTTTTTGCAATGACCTTTAAACTGAATTTTCTAAGCATAAAAATAGTGGTATCAATTATAAAAAGAAAATGAATTTGACTATATTGTTTTAAGATTTCTCTAAGTGGAAGGTGAATAACATTTAAAGCTAAAGTTGAAAAGTATTTGCAATGACAAATGTTACTATATTTATTTAATCAAGTATAAATGAACAGGAAAATTTTTAACACTTGAGCCAAGTTTTTTTTAGAAAAAAAAGAAATATAAAGGTTTAGTAACCATATGAGAATACCAGTATCTTCATGATTTAGTTCATAACATTTCTTTTTACTTTTCTTACTTTATTTCCCTTCTAACCTCTTTTTTGTTTCATAGCCTACATTTCAGTGAAACTAAGCCACATGCAAGTTCCTAATCACATTGGGCTCTCTCAAGTCACACTTGGTACCTTTGTTCCAATGCTCATACTATTCTCCCTGCCTAGAATGCCCTCCTCCCTGCGTTGCCCACCTATTGAATATCTGCTTATCCTTCATGATTCAGTTCAGACATGAGTTTCTTTGTGTAGCTTTTCCTTTGCTCTATTCCCCTTCCCTACTGAGCTTGTTCTCCTCTATTTTTATAACATGTCTGTCTTAAAACTTTTAATCTCATTGTTTTGAAAATGTTTTTTTATGTGGCTTTTTCCCTTACAGAACTATGTGCAGAGACTTCCTCTGATTAATCTTTGTAGCTTGAACACTTAGCACAGTGCCCAACACATTATAACCTCTACCTCCTATTCATCCTTTAAGATTCAACTCAGTGGTTACTGCTTCCTTTCCTGATGTCTTCCTTACTACCTTAACCCTGACCTGGAGCACAGTACATATTCCCTAATGCCCCATGTGTTGCATGTTACCACCTTAGATGATGAGCTCTTTGAAGGTAGGGATTCAGTATTTTGATCTTTGTATCTTTAGTGCCTAGCATAGTGTTGGCAATATGATAGTCATTCAGTAAGTATTTGATTGATAGACAGGTGGTGGGAAATTCATTTTCTCCTAGAGTTCTGATCTGGAATTTTTTGAGACAGAGTCTCGCTCTATCGCCCAGGCTGGAGTGCAGTGGCACGATCTCGGCTCACTGCAACCTCTGCCTCCTGGGTTTGAGCGATTCTCCTGCCTCAGCCTCTCGAGTAGCTGGGATTATCGGCTCATGCCACTATGCCGAGCTAATTTTTGTATTTTTAGTAGCGACAGAGTTTCACCATGTTGGCCAGTTTGGTCTTGAACTCCTGACCTCGTGATCCACCTGCCTCGGCCTCCCAAAGTGCTGGGATTACAGGTGTGAGCCACCGCACCTGGCCAGTAATTCCATTTACAATAGCATCAAAAAGAGTAAAATACTTAGGAGTTGTCTTAACCAAAGAGAAGATTTGTAAACTGAAAACTACAAAATATTACTGAAAGAAATTAAAGAATATATAAACAACTGGAAAGATTTCTCATGTTCATGGATTGGAAGACTTAATTTAGGTGAGATGTCAGTACTACCAAAGTATTCTACAGATTCAGTGCAACCCCTGTCAACATCCCAATGATTTTTGAAAAAATAGAAAAATCCAGTTATGTGTGAGTGACACGAGGTGAGGGTTGCAGATGCAGTTTCCTGTTTTCATCGTATAGACAGGGCAGCTCTGCTGCGGAGATGGTCAATGTGCCTAAAACCCAAAGAACCTTGTGTAAGAAGTGTGGTAAGCATCAGCCTTACAAAAGTGACACAGTATGAGAAGGGCAAGGATTCCCTGTATGCCCAGGGAAAGAGGTGCTATGATTGGAAGCAGAGTGGCTGTGGTGGGCAGACAAAGTCAGTTTTCCAAAAGAAGGCTGATGCGGTTTGGCTGTGTCCCCACCCAGATCTCCTCTTGAATTCCCACATGTTGTGGGAGGGACCCGGCAGGAAGTAATTGAATCATGGGGGCACGTCTCTCCTGTGCTGTTCTCATTATTGTGAATAAGTCTCACGAGATCCGATGGTTTTAAAAAAGGGAGTGTGCCTGCAAAAGCTCTCTTGTTTGCCACCATGTGAGACGTACTTTTCACTTTCCACCATAATTGTGAGGCCTCCCCAGCCACGTGGAACTAAAAGTCCAATAAACCTCTTTCTTTTGTAAATTGCCCAGTCTTGGGTATGTCTTTATCAGCAGCGTGAAAACGGACTAATACAAAGGCTAAAACCACGATTATGCTAAGGGTGGAATGTGTTGAGCCTAACAGCAGATCAACAGGATGCTGGCCATTAAGAGATGCAAGCATTTTGAACTGGGAGGAGATAAAGAAGAGAAAGGGCCAAATGATCCAGTTCTAAATTTGGGGATGTTTTTCTTTTCATTTTGAAGATAAAACATTGAAGCTATAGAAAAAATATAGGAAAATAAATACAGTGATAATCTTACTCAAAAAAAGAAAAATTCGTACTAGAATTCATACGTAATCTCAAGAGACCCTGAATAGCAGAAACAATCTTGAGAAAGAACAATGTTGCAGGACTCCCACTTCTGATTTACTACAAAGCTAACATAATCAAAACAGCGTGGTACTGGCATAAAGACAGCCATAGAGACCAATGGAATAGAAGAGAGGGCCCAAAAAGTAAGTCCTCACATATTTGGTCAAATGATTTTCCATAAGTATGACAATTCTTCATTCAATGAGGAAAAGACAGTCTTTTCAACAAATGGCATTTGAAAAACTGGATATGTACATCAAAACAATGAAGTTGGACACTTACCCTGTACCATATATAAAACCGTAAGACTCTTAGAAGAAAACACAGGGCAAAAGCTTTATAATATTGGATTTGGCAGTGATTTCTTGGGATATGACACCAAAGACACAGACAATAAAAGGAAAACCAGACAAACTGTACTTCGTCAAAATTTGAAGCTTGTACATCAAAGGATACTATCAACAGAGTAAAAAGGCAACCCATAGAATTAGACAAAATAATTGCAAGTCACCTGTCTGAGAAGAAACTAATATTCAGAATATATAGAGAATGCCTAACTACTGTGTAAAACAGGGCAGTTCCTTAAAAAAACAAACAGAATTACCTGTTTCATTCAGCAGTCCCACTTCTGAGTATATTCACAAATGAATTGAAGGCAGGGAATTGAAAGATATGTTTACACCAATATTGATGGCTATTACTCATAAGAGACAAAAATTGGTGTGGAAGCAACCTAAGTGTCTATCATCGATGATAGACAAAATGTGGCATGTACATGCAATGGAATATTACTCAGTATTACAAAGGAAAAAACAATTTACTTATAGTAAAGTTCACGCTTTTTAGTGTACAGTTCTATGAGTTTTTGAGGTTTTTTTTTTTATCTTTGAGACGGGGTCTCACTCAGTTGCCCAGGGTGGGTTGCAGCGGAGCAATCATGGCTCACTGCAGTCTTGACCTCTCCAGGCTCAGGTGATCCTCCCATCTCAGTTTTTGTGTTTTTAGTAGAGACGAGGTCTCACCATGTTGTGCAGGGTTGTCTTGAACTTCTGGGCTCAAGCAATCCACCTGCCTCGGCCCCTCAAAGTGCTAGGATTACAGGCGTGAGCTACTGAGCCCAGCCTACAAAGGAAAAAAAATTCTGACATATGCTACATATGAATAAACTTTGAGAACATCATGCCAAGTGAAATTAGCATGACACAAAAGGACAAATATATGGTATGATTTCACTTATGAGATACCTAGAAGAGTCAAATGCATAGAGACAGAAAGTAGAACAGTGGTTACTGGGGCTGGGGGTAGTTCAGGAATGGAGAGTTACTGTTAAGTGGGTAGAGAGTTCCATTATGAGATGATGAAAAAGTTGTGGAGATGGATAGTGGTGATGGTTGTACAACAGTATGAATGTACTTAATGCCACTGAACTGTACACTTAAAAGTGGTTAAAATAGTACGTTTTATGTTATGTATGTTTTACCACAATGGAAAAAAACTAAAACACAACAAAGGAAGGATTTGGGGAAAATTGGAAGTGACTGCTAATGGGTATTGGGTTTCTTTTAAAGATGATGAAAATATTCTAGAATTGTGGTGATGGTTGCACAATTCCGTGAATATACTAAAAACGAGAGAATTTTTGTTTAAATGGGTGGATTGGGCCAGACGCGGTGGCTTATGCCTATAATCCCGGCACTTTGGGAGGCTGAGGCGGGCGGATCATCCGAGGTCAGGAGTTTGAGACCAGCCTGGCCAGCATGGCAAAACCCCATCTCTACTAAAAAATATAAAAATTAGCTGGGCATGGTGGCGCATGCCTGTAATCCCAGCTACTCAGGCTGAGGCAGGAGAATCGCTTGAACCCAGGAGGCGGATGTTGCAGTGAGCTGAGATCATGCCACTGTACTCCAGCCTGTGTGACAGAGCAAGATTGCATCTCAAATAAATAAATAGATTGTATAGTGTGTGAATTATACCTCAATGAAGGTGTTAGAAAAAATAAATTTTAAAAAATCAAGGCGGGGCGTGGTGGCTCATGCCTGTAATCCCAGTACTTTGGGAGGCTGAGGCAGGTGAATCACGAGGTCAAGATATTGAGATCATCCTGGCCAACATGGTGAAACCCCATCTCTACTAAAAATACAAAAATTAGCTGGGCGTGGTGGCGCGTACCTGTAGTCCCAGCTACTCAGGAGGCTGAGGCAGGAGAATCATTTGAACCCGTAAGGCGGAGGTTGCGGTGAGCCAAGATCACACCACTGCATTCCAGCCTGGCGAAAGAGCAAGACTCTGTCTCAAAAAAAAAAAAAAAAAAAAAAAAAAAGTAAGTGCTACAAAAGTTATAACCAGGCTGGGCGTGGTGGCTCACACCTGTAATCCCAGCACTTTGGGAGGCCAAGGCGGGCAGATCACGAGGTCAGGAGATCAAGACCATCCTGGCTAACACAGTGAAACCCCATCTCTAGTAAAATATACAAAAAAATTAGCTGGGCGTGGTGGCGGGCGCCTGTAGTCCCAGCTACTCAGGAGGCTGAGGCAGGAGAATGGCGTGAACACAGGAGGCGGAGCTTGCAGTGAACCGAGATCCCACCACTGCACTCCAGCCTGGGCGACAGAGCGAGATTCCATCTCAAAATATATATATATGTATATATTTGGTTATATATATATATATTTGGTTATATATATATATATGGTTATATATGGTTATATATATATGGTTATATATATATATGGTTATATATATATGGTTATATATATATGGTTTTATATATATATATATAACCAAATAGTTCCCTACTTTACCCCCCCCTCCCACCTCCAAGGGGGGAGCCTGCAACAATTTGAGCTAGTGCAATTGCTTTCATATTTCAAAATATGTCTATGTTACTATTTCTTAACTTATCTAATTTTATACATTTATTGACTTCCCTTTTAAGAAATTGGATAAACCTCTCTTCTTCCCACTTTACTTTTACCTCATCATATTATTGTTCCATCACAGTCGTTGATTAAATCTTAAATCAGATATTGTTGGATTGTTTGATGTTGAGCCAAGTGCTATACTATTATGTTTTTCTTTCTCTTTTTTATTTTTATTTTTTGAGACAGAGTCTCGCTCTGTCACCCAGACTGGAGTTCCGTGGCGTGATCTCGGCTCATTTCAACCTTTGCCTCCCAGGTTCAAGTGATTCTCCTGCCTCAGCCTCCTGAGTAGCTGGAACTACAGGCTCCCACTACTACGCCTGGCTAATTTTTTTATTTCTAGTGGAGATGGGGTTTCACCATGTGGGCCAGGCTGGTCCTCAATTCCTGACCTCAAGTGATCCACCCACCTTGGCCTCCCAATGGGCTGGGATTACAGGTGTGAGCCACCATACCCAGCTTTTTTGTCTCTGTATTAGGCCCATAAAAAGCATGAGTGCCATGCTTTTTGCTTGGCTTTTTACGGGCCTAATACTGATTGTACCATATATTTTAATCAGTATCTTTCAAGCCTGTCAATAAGCTGTCCACATACTGAAACACAGTTGTTAAACCTCTGTCAAATTTTCATTTTTAGAATATTTTTTTCCTTGCAAACTGCTCTTCTGCAGTCTAGACAGGTTGCTCTCTGGACCTGGTACACACCTCTTCTCAGGAATTACCTCCATGTTGAATCCCTTTTCGTTGAAACCCATTTATTTTCTTTTCTTGTTTTACTCTCTTCATGCAAAAGCATATCCTTCAATCATTTAAGACCCTACATGCCTAAAAATGTCTG
This sequence comes from Homo sapiens, assembly GCF_000001405.40. Classification (NCBI taxonomy): domain Eukaryota; kingdom Metazoa; phylum Chordata; class Mammalia; order Primates; family Hominidae; genus Homo; species Homo sapiens. The sequence continues at coordinate 45,900,738 of NC_000012.12, forward strand.
TAATCTACCCTTACTCTTGATAGTTGTTGGCTGTACATAACATTCTAGATTGAAAAATCATTTTTCTTTAAAAACCTGAGGGCATTGCTTTGGTGTATTCTAGCACCAGCTTTGCTGTTGAGAAGACTAGTGACATTCTGGTTCCCATTTCTTTGTATGTGATCTGTTTTCCCCCCTCTAGAAACTGTTGTGATCTCTTTATTTCTGAATATTCTGAGGTTTCTTGATGATGATGTGTCTTCGGTGGGTGTTTTGTTGTTGTTTTCATTGAAGTCATTATTTCATTTTGGTGGGTCCTTTCAATCTGGAGATTTATATCCTTCAGTAATGGGAACTTTTCTGGTATGTTTCTTTTTCTTTTCTCTTTTAGCTTTCTGTTTTCTCTCTGTTTAATCTATTTTTTGGAAATTTCCTTAATTTTTTTTTTTTTTTTTTTTTTTTTTTTTTTTTTGAGACAGAGTCTCGCTCCGTTGCCCAGGCTGGAATGCAGTGGCACGATCTTGGCTCACTGCAAGCTCCACCTCCCAGGTTCACGCCATTCTCCTGCCTCATCCTCTGGAGTAGCTGGGACTACAGGCGCCCACCACCATGCCCCGCTAATATTTTGTATATTTAGTAGAGACAGGGTTTCACCTAGTTAGCCAGGATGGTCTCGATCTCCTGACCTCGTGATCCGCCCTCCTCAGCCTCCCAAAGTGCTGGGATTACAGGCATGAGCCACCACCCCCAGCCGGAAATTTCCTTAATTTTTAAGAGCTTGTTATTGGTTGCCAGTTGTTACTATTTTATAACATCCTGTTCTTAGTGGTGTCTTCTCATCTCTCTGAGGATATTAACACCTCTACTTTTGTAGTTTTTTCCCAATCTGTGTATGGTTACTCTTTCCTTGTAATTCCTCAAATTTCTGAGGATTTGGGGGTTTGCTTATCCTCCGCCCCCCAAGACAAGAGTCTTGCTCTGTTACCCAGGCTGGAGTTCAGTGGGGCCATCATGGCTCACTGCAGCCTCCAACCTCCTGGGCTCAAGTGATCCTCCCACCTTAGCCTCCTGAGTAATTGGGACCACAAGCATATGCCACCATGCCCAACAGTTCATTTTTTAATTTTCTGTAAGGTGGGGGGTGGGGGAGGGTGTCTCACTATATTGCCCAAGCTGGTCTTGAACTCCTCAACTCAAGTGATCCACCTGCCTCGGCCTCCCAAAGTGCTGGGATTACAGGCGTGAGCCACCACGCCTAGCAAAAAATAAATTTCTTTTACCCTTCGTACTGTTTTGAGGAGGGAATGGAAAGAAACTTGTTTAAACTTGTTTTCTTAGAAGCTGATTTGTATCCTAAATGGTTTTTACTAGTGTTGCTTAGAAATTATTTTTATTATCTGTTAAGGATATTAGAGTGACCCAATATTTATTCTTTGTTAAATCATCTCAAAAAACTAACATGTGAATTTAGAAGTTGAAAGAATATCATTTTATAAAAAAACAAATTAGGCATGTTTTGTTTTATATCAAAACAAAGTGAGTGCTTAATTTTTTAAAACCTCAAAAAATTAAACATTTATATCAAAAAGGAAATTATTAGTTACTTTAAAATCATCCTAGTGATTTCAGTTTATTCTTTCTAGTTTTATCCATGCAATATTCAAATAAAAGAATACTTTTTAACATGTGACTATCACTTTGAAAAATATGATTTTGTTAACTTTTTGAAACTAAAGTCTTTTTTCTTTCTTTGTTAAAATATTCATTGATTGTGGGGAAAAACTGATTGTACTTTGTAAAGTTATTTTTATTTTGTAAATTTTTTTTTTTTTTGAGATGGAGTCTCGCTCTGTTGCCCAGGCTGGAGTGTAGTGGTGCAGTCTCGGCTCACTGCAACCTCTGCCTCCTGGGTTCAAGCGATTCTCCTGCCTCAGCCTCCTGAGTAGCTGGGATTAGTAGCCTCCCAAGTAGCTCCTGCCACCACGCCCAGCTAATTTTTTGTATTTTTAGTAGAGATGGGGTTTCACCATGTTGGCCAGGCTGGTCTCGAACTCCTGACCTCGTGATCCGCCTGCCTCAGCCTCCCAAAGCGTTTTGTAAATTTTTAAATCAATTTTTGTACAACTAATTTTTCTTTTCCAGAAAGATCTTAGAAATTTCATACTTTATTTTAAAAGTTGTTAAATAAAATTTTAAAGAAAATCATAAAGATTTTATAAAACAGAAGTGTAAAGTTCAGTGAATTATCACAAACTGAACCACTCATATAACTATCTGTCCAAGTTAAGAAATAGAGCAATATCAGTTGAAATCTTTCATGTTCTCTCCAATCTTTACTCCATCCTCCTCTCTATAAGGGACCACTATCCTGATCTGTGACACCAGAGGTTCATTTTGCCTGATTTTGAACTTTCTATATGTGAAATCATACAATATTATTTTCAGCATTATATTTTTGAGATTGATTCATGTTGTTGCATGATAGTATTTTATTCATATTATTGTATTTTTTTCTCTGCTTTTGATGGGCAAATGGGTTATTTCCAATTTGGGGCTATTAAGAGTAATGCTGCTATAAACATTCTAAACCATATTCTGTTTTTTGGCCATATACGGAACATATTTCTGTTGAGTGTTTTCAAAGGATTGGTGACTCATAAGATGTTAAAAGTTTGCTACATGATGCCAACCAATTCCAAAATGATTTTATCAATTGACACTCTATAGAAATGTATGAGAGTCTCAGCTACTCCATGTACTTGCCAACATTTGGTATTGTAATTAAAATGTTTAATTTTATCCACTCTTTTGAGTGTGTGATGGTATGTATATATGGAAACTACATAAAACTGAAATGGCCCAAAAAACATGAAAAGATGCCCAACTGTTTATTCTTCAGTCTCATTTTTTGCTCATTTCTTTTCCTTTGCTTTACTATAGTAAAAGTGACTCCAGTCCCTACATTAAATTTTGATTTTGAATTTTTGCATCTTTTCCATAAACTTCTTTTCTACAGTGTTTTTTAATTCAAAATGTACGTGTCTTCATCTTCTCTTTTTTTCTCCTGTAGTTTCTTTTATTCGGAGTTATTTTAATGAAGGCACCAAGGTTCCTGGGTAATCTCATGCTGGCTGATATTTTTTTTTAACATTTAATATAAAATTTTTCACACATAGGCAAATTTGAAATGTTTGCAATGAAATTTTTTATACCTGCCACCTAGCTATTACCATGAATATTTTAGTATACTTGCTTTATCACATATCTGTCCATTTATCCATCCCACAGTTCTGGGTGATTTTTACCATTTTTCTCAGCCCCCAGCATCCCTTTTTTTTAGCTAGATGATGCTCACTTTTATAATCTCTCATTATATAGATAGCCACATCAATATTGTGATCTTTTGGGTAGAAAATTTAAGATTGATAAGTTTTTAGAAAACAGCTTTTATGGCTAATGGGGCATTTAGGATATAGTTAAGCTAGATGTGGCTTGGTTTCACTTAATGAAGACTAAGAAGCTTTAATTATACCTACAATATAATTTTAATTTCATGTCATCCCTTAAAAGCAACCATTTTGTTCCTCTCCAGCTGTTTTCTGACACCATTTTCTAAATTTTCTAGAAACATGAATGAAGATTGAAAAAGAATTTTGCTGTGCAGCCTTCCATATTTAGAAAGGTACTATGGAGAGGCTGGGCGCGGTGGCTCACGCCTGTAATCCCAGCACTTTGGGAGGCCAAGGCGGGTGGATCACAAGGTCAAGAGATCGAGACCGTCCTGGCCAACATGGTGAAACCCCGTCTCTACTAAAAATACAAAAATTAGCTGGGCGTGGTGGCACACGCCTGTTGTCCCAGCTACTTGGGAGGCTGAGGCAGGAGAATCACTTGAACCCGGGAGGTGGAGGTTGCAGTGAGCTAAGATTGCGCCATTACACTCCAGCCTGGCAATAGAGTGAGACTCCTTCTCAAAAAAAAAAAAAAAAAAAAAAAAAGGTACTATGCAGAAAAGGCAAACAGTAATAGTCAGCCTCAGTTTATCCTTCTAGTTGTTTCCCAGATGCTTCCCTCTCTTCCTGCAATACTATATTAACATTTACGGGGTGTGGAGCTATGTATTGTTTCTATTTTAGTTTTTAAACTTGCAAAATTCATGATAAAGAGTCATCGCTGTGACCTTGGAGACTGACAATCTTCTATATGTTTTTTTGCAGATTGTTAAAGAGACATGAAAATAACTTATCAGTGCTAGCCATTAGTAACATGGAAGCTTCCTCCACCCTTGCCAAATGCCTTTATGAACTTAATTTTACAGTTCAGAGTAAGGAACAAGAAAAAGACTCAGAAATGCTGCAGTGAAAAATAATTCCACTTACACAGTGGGGGACTCAAAGTCAGCCACATTTCACATACTGTTACTGAAGAAAGCACCAAGTCTTAATGGAACAAAGACCATAGAATGAATTATTTTATCTCCTCCCATGATGCTGAGAGGAAGCTTCGTATTCTGATCTCTGAGTGAATCCCTTTGTTCTCTGTTTAAAAAAATCTAAAAAGAAAAAGGAAAAAAAAAAAAGAACTGCTGTGGGATTGTCAACCAGCTTATCTGCAGGATGTTTCAGATCTGATAAATCCTGATGGAAACTGGTATGATCAGAATTCAGTACCATCCACATTGGAATATACATGGAATATTGTAAAACCTACATGAGCAGATGAAATAGAAGCATTAAATATTTTTATCTATATCCAAAAAGGAGCACATTTTTATATTTACAAAACCGTTTAAGCTGGTTTGAATAATTTAAAAAAGTTTCAGCACACCTATACCCCCGATCTCAGAGGGGGCCACCAATATCTAGCTATGGATCGTGTGTTTTGTTTAGAAATCAGTAGCTTGGTTTTCTTACTTGAGCCAATATATTTTCACTTATTTATTATCATAAAAATTTACCAGTCTGAATAGATCTTGTAAATATTTGTGAATAGAATGAATACCTTTCATGCCACTGCAGCCACTGGAAATACATTCTGTGGTGTCCTAGAAGCATTATTGGTAGGTTCTAAAGTTTTCTAGACTTTCCTGTCAATTGTAAGTAATTGTGATATATTCTATGCAGTGGATGAATGTTCTTTAAATTTGTGTAAATACTTCTGCAAAGGTACTGATGCTGTAAAGTCAAAACAGTTTTGTGGAACTGTGATTTTTTTTTCTTTTTTCTTTTTTTTTTTCTTTTTTTTTTTGTATTATACACCTTGTAGAACTCATTTTGCTGGCTGAAAGAGTATGGAATAATATATCTCATGTCATTTTTTAGAAGAAAAACTATTTGAAGGTATTTTTTGGTTTTCCTTAACATGTATCCACTGTAAACGTTTGTCGTGTACAAGCTCAGAGCTTGGACAGAATTTTTTGTATTTGTAAATTGGTTTAAATACATGGAATTTTATACAGGTTTTCTCCTGTGTTATATATGCATTATGTGCAGGTATGATATTTTCTTCACTACTTTTTCTATCTTAATATAGTGTGGAATTTTATTGTATTATTCTTCCATTCTTAATACTGTACCACATTCCTGCTCAGAAACTGCTCACTTCCTTAAATTGTCTTTTTTCCCCCAGCGTGAAATGTATCCATTTATAACTGCCTATTGCCTGTTCTATTAGCATCCAAAAATGTGGAAGGCCTCCCAACCACCATTTCTGCTGTGTCCTTAGGATGTGCAGTAAAAAATATAGACCTAACAGTTTATGTTATAGAATGGCTTTATTTACTTTGGTGACTGTTTATAGTTTTTAAATAAAAGACTGAACATTTTCTTGAGTCCTTCATTTCTGAGTATGCTTAAGACATCTTAAAAATATAGAGAGAATTCTAAATTCAGCTGAAGGCAAGGTATAACGGTCACCTACCTATTTGATTATATGTTGATTGATAACATATTAAATAGAGAACAAATAAGAGAGGTCCTTTACATGACAAATTTGCATGAAATAAGCAGATTAACCAAGTATTTATTTTTCATCTTGTTATAATGCAGAGCAAATGTAGAGAACAGCAAATGATTGATGCAGTTAAAGCTCAATATGCCTTTTTTTACTGGATACTGTACATTTGGCTAAAAGCTTTTATTGTTTGATGTTGTGTTTCTTGACTGTTTATTCAGAATCACAGTGTATCCAAATCTTCAGCTTGAATTTGGAGGCAGATTCTTAGAGTGAAAAAGCCTCAGTTTCCATATTAAAAATGTTTTAAATATTTTGATTGAATTAGTACCAATGTAAAATCTAGTTTCTTCCTGAAGGAGGATCCCTGGCGCTGTCCTGCCATGTCTCAAAGGAATGTTTGAGAAACTTCATCTAATATTAGTTATAAGGTTGTGGAATTTATGCTTGGCCCACCTTCCAAGACTGGCACTGCCCAACAGACACCGCTGAAATCATGTGGGTATCCCTAGGATGGCCTTCAGAGCCCTCAAACTTACAAGCACCTGGTAGTTGACATCATATGGGGAATTTTCTATTCACCGTACTTATCCAAAAATCTCTTTTAAAAAGTAAATTTGTGCAACAACGTTTATTTGAAAGATAATGTCTTCTCAAAATCAGAAACTGCAGTGGTAATTAAATTAATAGAAAAGAGAACAAACTGCAGGTTTAGAAAAATGGTTTTCATATTCACCATTCTTCCACCTCATTGAATTGCATGCTGTAGTTCTAGCTTTTCTGCTATAATATGTAAATATGACTGTAGCCTTTTAAGCTTCAGTCTCAGCAGAGAATTTCCTAAATGCGTTTGACCTAATGAAACTGATCATGGCTTCCCACTTAGGTTTTTCTTCTTATAGCTTTATAGAACTATATAATAATATGGACTTGCTGTGTAATGGAATTAAAGTGCTTTTGCACAATAAGTTCTGCAAAACCCTCTCATTCATGAAAAGGTGCTCCTTGCTAGACAGAAACTTGCTGATTTACAGTATTGTTATTTTTGTCTAAAGTTCTGTAAATACATGCTTTAATGTTATCTTTGAGAAATCTATGTAAATAATATAGTCTACAACATAGAGACTGTATAATTCTGTGTTATATATGTGCCTAGTGCTCTGTTGGCACTCAATAAATTTTAAGTAACAAAATTGATAATCATATAGCGAAGGCATATTTTTCTTCCAAGCTCAAGTCAGGATTGTGACTATATATTAATGAGACTCAGTAATCCAACCCACACCTGAGAACTCGTCTCATTACTTTATAGTCATGTCATGTATGTTTTTTTAACCATGAAATGACAATAAAATGATTTTTAAAATGAGAATGTTTTGGATAAGTGACTTCTGTCCTGATCTTAACCACTGCTGTTAAATACCAAACAGAGGAAACATGATGCAAAGCAGAAGCTGCTAAAGAGCAGAAGTGGAGCTATGGGGTTAACCACGTGGGACACCTGGCACTGTCACTGTTACCAAATAGTAAGTTAAATGAGAACAAAATCCAGTATCTATTAGGAAATTTTAGCCGATCACTTTCATACTGCTTGACTCTTCTCAGACTCATACAGCAGTCAGTCATACGACAACTACACTAGCCTTCTCCAGAGGCAACAAAACAAATGAAGACAGTACCACTGTCTAATTACATTACTACACTGGTATTTGTAACTCTTTCATTTCAATTATATAGCCTCATTTCCTATTGGTAAAAATTAAGTCCAGGATTGCCTTGTGTGTGGATAAGAAACACTAAGACACACTGGCATATACTTAAGTAGATCCATTTACTTTGATTAATAAGACTACATTTAAATATTAAAAGAAAAGGCTATTATTAAGTCAAGTCCTGGCTCCTGTGGATTTTAGTCTGAGATACAACCCACATTGTATACATTTATTTAAAACATAAACTGCCTTTAGAAAGTAACTTAATCAAAAAGTTAAATTATATGAAAAGCCTCATTCCCATCTGCTTCACCACCCGTGTCCCCCAACCAGATAACCACTGTTCACATTTCTTGAGTACATCTCTGGTGTTGATTACATACAAGTGAATTCAATATTTTCTCTTTTTTACACAAAAATATGTCATACCATAAATAATATGCCGTACTTTCTTGAAATTTTAATATTTTAAGTTTATTCCATATTGGTACATAGCTTTCTCATCCTTCTTACAGCTATACAATATAGTTTTCCATTGTATGGGTATACTATATTTAACTAGACCCCATATCGATGGACATTTAAATTGTTTCCAAAATTTAAGGTGCTGTTTTAAACTAGTCACTAATACTTTGCTGAACACTACTCTGTCAGGCACTGTGCTAAGCATTTTACATGTATTGTTTCAGCCTTCACAACAGCCCAATGTAATAGCTAATATTTCACAAGTGGGGAAAAGAGGGTTAAGATGAGTAAGTACCTTGACCAGGTTCTTAACAGCAAGTAAGTGGTTAAACTATCCAGCTCCTCTGAAGCCTAGTTATGAAGAGTAATTGGGAGAATTCTTTCCTCAGAGAGTCAGACTCAAGGCCAGGAGTCTGCTAGTATAAACACTATGTACCCCTAATTTTGGTGTGGATCTTTTCGTTTGTATTTGCCTCATTGTTCCTAGTATTTTCTTTCTTTGCATTTTGTCTTTTTAAGATTTTCCATAATTCTTCAGATTTCCCAAGTATTTCATTCATTAACTTGGCACCACTTTATACAGCCAGAAAAATTTTCTGGAAATACCCTTGACAAAGGGCCATTTCTAAGACAAATATTTATAGTAAGTTGAAACCACAGTTTCTAATCAACTATCCGTCTGGTGCCTAGTTCAAACAACCATCTGCTGACTCCTTTGGAAAGAGTCATACTCCTTAACAATAGTATGATGTTAATAGGATTTTCCCCAGCGTACACCTTTAAATCACCTTCAATGCACAATACTGTTGGAGTACCTATGCTGCTGCTTTGGAAGGCGGAGACATCCTGCTCTGAAGGTAGCCCAAACTTACAAATAATACCCAATACGATAAAAGATAAAAACATGTGCCATAAGGAAATTATAAACAGTTTGGGGAGTTTAATCATGTAGCAGGCTTCATTTGATGCTGAGTTGGAAAGGGAAAGTAGGAAAGGCTTTGTGGAGAAGGCAAAATGTCTTTTTCTTTTTAAGTACTTTGTATTATTTTTTATCTTTTATTTCTTTATTTTTAAGACAGGGTCTGGCTCTGTCACCCATACTGAAGTGCAGTGGTGTAATCTCGGCTCACTGCAACCTCCGCCTCCCAGGCTCAAGCGGTCCTCCCACTTCAGCCTCCTGAGTTAGCTGGGATTACAGGTGCGAGCCACCATGCCTGGCTAATTTTTGTGTTTATTTATTTTTTTGTAGAGATAGTATTTTGCCATGTCGCCCATACTGGTCTTGAACTCCTGACCTCAAGCAATCCACCCACCTCGGTCTTCCAAGGTGCTGGGATTAGAGGTGTGAGCCACCGCGCCCGACCCCTGAGAAGGGAAAATGTCTTTTTAATGAGAGATTCTAAGGGCTAGTAGAAATTTGACAGACCTCAGCCAGGCATGGTGGTTCGCACCTATAATTCCAGCACATTGGGACGCTGAGGCAGGAAGATTGCTCAAGCTCAGGAATTTGAGACCAACTTGGTTAACATGGTGCAGACTTTGTCTCTACAAAAAATAAGAAAATTAGCTGGGTGTGGTGGTGCACACCTGTGGTTCCAACTACTGGAGAGGATGAAGCATGTGGATATTTGAGCCCAGGAGGTTGAAGCTACAGTGAACTGTGTTTGTGCCACTCCACTCCAGCCTGGGCAACAGAGTGAGACCTTGTCTCAAAATAATAATAAAATAGAAATGGACAGACCTAATGGTAGTAAGAGAGTTTGAGTTTGGAGAGGTCTTGTTGAGGATGAGAGGAGGTTATAGATTGACAAGTGCAGGGGTTAACTAGTAAGAGGTCAAAGCTATAAACATTCTCCACACACAAAATGCACAAAAATGAAACTCGACAATATCAGGGAGGAGCAGAGTGAGATGATAGAAATGTCTTGGCCACCTAGTAAACAGAACTAACAGGGCCCCACAAAGTGTAGTTTTGAAATCAAATGTAGTAAGTAAGTTTAACCAACACATTTGGTTGAGAGGGGCTTCGGAATCTCTGGACTATACATTATGACTTCCCTAAACTGGAGAAAACGTTTAGCCTTTGCTTTTGAGAAGATGTATTGATTTGAATTATCAAATATGATGCTCTATTTATAGCTAAACTGTGAAAGACAAAACTAGACTGGCTTTCAGGTTGACCTTTTAAACGAAATCACTTTTGCAAGGCAGCTGCCTGGGACAGGCACTTTTCTAAATTGTACAACCATTGAAAATGAGTTTGTTTTTCATCTTTAGGTAGAAAATGGCATGGTTAAAGTAACTTAGAAAAAGAAAGGACCTGAAAGTTGGTGCAATCTAATACAGAAAGCATTGTTTTTGACTGACTGATTGGCTATAGAGACAAGGCCTCACTATGTTGCCTAGGCTGGTCTCAACTCCTGGGCTCAAGCAATCCTACTGCCTTGGCATCCCAAAGTGCTGGGATTTACAGGCGTGAGCCACCATGCCTGGCTGAGCACTATTTGAAATGAACACACAACTTCAATCTTGTGCAGAGTAGGCCCTTGAATGTTTGTTGCTTTTTACTTATTTCTGGTTCCTAACAGATGTATGTCTTATGTGATGCAAAATTATTCTTTGAATGGAGATTTTTTTTCCCCCTTCAAGTTCATGGATTTTCTTTTTGCCTTTGGGACTGGATTGAGAGAATGGGAAAAATGTAGATTTGACTATCAAATCTAAAACAATGGCCTTGGGTTAATTGCTAGCCCCTTGGTACTTTCTTTAAAAACTTTTAAATTATGAAATATAACACATATAACAAAGTGAGTAAAATGTAGAGTAGAGCTTTATTTTTATGTTTTTAGAGATAGGGTCTTGCTATGTTGCTCAGGCTGGTCTTGAACTCCTGGCCTGAAGCAATCCTCCTGCCTCAACCTCCCGAGTAGCTGGGATTACAGGCATGACTCACAGTGCCTGGCTTATTGTTTTACAGCAAACCCTATGTAGCCGTTGCCCAGATCAAGAAAAGACCTTGATAGTCCCCCCAGAAGCCTCTCATGTCCCATCTCAATCAAAGCCCCTAAACCCCCATCAGTAACCACTATCTGAATTTTCAAGGCAACTGCTTCTATTCTTTATGTTTTTTTTTTTACCTTTACTACGTAAGTATGGATCTCTAAACACTATAATTTAGTTTTGTCAATTTTTGAACTATTACAGAAATACAGTATTGGATTATATTTTGTGTCTATCTTTCACTCAGCTTGGTTGTGAGATTCACCTATATTGTTGGATGTAGCAATGGTTCCCTTATTTTTATTGCTGAATATTCCCAATACTGATGGCATTTAGATTGTTTCTAATTTGGGGCAACTACATATGATGCTATAAACATTCTACTCGTCTCTTGATGCACTGGGGCATGTGTTTCTGTTGGACATTAACTTAGGAGCGGAATTTCCCTTATTATCTAGTAAGATAATTCCACAGAGCAGTCTGGAAGTGTGCAAATGGCAAGTACAAATACAATCCAAATTAGGTTCTGAGGGCGAATGGGACTAACCAGAGGTGCCTCAAAGGAAGTCAGATTGAGAGCCATAGGCAAGAGGATGGCTAAGCAGCTGTGCAGTCCTCACCTTCAGCCTGAGCAGACTCATTCCTTTGTAATTAGATTTTGTTTGGAGTTCTGCTGTAAAGTTTGTTGGCAATATGGCATACAGGAATTACGTGGCTCATCACAAGTATATAATTAATATTAGTTGAATTAGATGATTAATTTAGAAGTCAGCAGGATGATCTGAAAGACTAAATAGGGTGACCACTTAGTTTATTATATTTATAATATTTGACTGATTATGAGGACTTCACACACTTTGGAGCAGGATAATGGAAACAGAAATATACAGATGTTATTTCTAGTGCCCAAACTGCTAGATAGGTTGGAGGAAGGGTCAGTGTTAGGACATGGATACTTCACAAAGGAAATATCGCTGGGCAGACCATGTAATGAGCTGAGAGGAATATTATAAGATGGTTGAGAGCATTTTTTCCATTCTAAAATGAAGTAAATAATGGAACCTACTTTTCAAGGTTGTTAGGAAAATTGAAGTAGATAATACAATAAAAGTCTTGGCACAGAGCCAGTAATAAGTGCTCCGTGTTAGCCACTGCTGTTGGTAATTAAGATTGACTGTACTTAGCTAGCAGTAAGGAGAACCTGCTATCAGCTTTGAAAGTGTATAAGAAAAAGATTTCTGGAAATTATTTGAAAAAGCAATACTACAATGATAATTTTAGAAGCTATAACTCCGTTAGGCAAGAGTGTAAATAAAAATCTTGTTAAATTAAGTATACGCATCCTAACTTTACCAACAGCTGGGTTCCTACAAGAGGTTGATTGCACTGTGAACTACTGTGTGAACATCCTGGAAATGTCTGACATCTTGTCTCTGAAGGTGCTGTTTTGCCATCTTCCTAGTGCTTAGTGGGCTCAAAATTCCAGATAATGTGGTAGATTCGAATTTGAAAACAATGTTAAAAAGAGTTACGTGTGTGTACAAACTATCAGGTGCTGTTGATGTTTCAGAGAGCAGGGATAGAATCCAAATGGCTTTCAAACAAGCTGTGATCTGGCCAGGCATAGTGGCTCACACCTGCAATCCCAGCATTTTGGGAGGCTGAGTCAGGTGGATTGCTTGAGCCCAGGAGTTTGAGACCAGCCTGGGCAACATGGTGAAACCTCATTTCTACAAAAATACAAAAAGTAGCATGATAGCACATGCCTGTAGTTCCAGCTATTTGGGAGACTGAGGTGGGAGGATCACTTAAACCCACGAGGTTGAGCCTACAGTGAGCTGTGATCATGCCCCTGCACTCCAGCCTCAGCGATAGAGCAAGACTGTCTCAAAAAGAGAACAAGTTGTAATCTAATTAATTATGTTATTCTAACCAAACAGCTGTGATCTGCAGGGGATCTAAAAAAGTTACATGGTTTGCTTCTTGGCTGCACATTAGACTCCACCTGGGAGATTTTAAAATACCCCATCCCCAGAGACAGATATAATTGGTCTGGGGTGGGCCTGTGCTTGTGCATGGCCTTTTATAAAACTCTCTATATGACCCTAAGTAGGCAGCTAGAAGTTAAGTTGCATTTCAGGGATGCAACAGGGATGAAAGCAGTGAGAAAACAGTCCTGGTTATATAGGCAGGAATTTCCCCAAGTAAATGTGGAGGAAATTTCAAGACATTCCCATCTATTATCTCAATCCTCAGTAACCCTGCAAGGTAGATAGGCAGCACCCCTTTTTATAGGCAATTCAGGTTCAGAGATAGCATACTGGGGCCCTCTGTGATACCCCTGCTTATCACCAGAAATGGATTATCTTCTGTGGTACTCACAGGATTGGTGGGCAGTATGCTCAGCTAGTTATGGTTTGGGAAGTCCACTGCTTCATGACTAAAGCATTTCTCACCCCACAAAGCCAGTGCGTGCTGACTACTTAGACTAGAACTCATCAGTTGCCAGGGAAGTTAAGCTCCTCCCTGAGGAGCTGAGTGTGAGGAGCCACCAGACACTTGCCCATCACAGTCAGATGCTCAAGCATCTGAGAACTCAGACCAGTTCTGGTGTGGGAAACTTTCAGCTCTTCAGCCTAGAGCAAAGCCTTCACCCCGTCTCTCACCCTCATACCACAAGCAGTGAGGCCTGCAATTTTGAAGATAGTTTTTCTGATCATGCAATTTTTATTAACTGTGTGAAATTTGGGAGACAAAAGCATACAGGGGAAAAAATCCTCTATTACCCAGAAACAACTTCTATTAATAATATGTATTTTTTTGCCTTAAAGTTTTTAAAGAAAGTTAGGATAATGGTATATAATTTGTGTCCTATTATTTTTTCTCCATTTAGTATTAAAGGAGTACATTCTTCCATTTCCCGCCCCCCGGAAACATTTAAAATAGCTGTAAAATACTTTCATATGAATGAACCATAGTTTATGTTAACCATCCCTCTCCAGTTTTCCACTAATACTGGAAAGAAATATGTGGACCAGGATGTTTATATTATGAAAAGAATATATAATCCCTTTAAGTTTCTTTATACATATTTTCAAATTGCCTTTCAGAAAAATTGTACATATTTGCACCCCTCTGCCCACAGTAGTGTTTGATCGTGGCACTCTTGCCATAATTGGAAATTATCAATTCGACAAAACTTAAAACACTGTTGTTTAATGTTTTTGCTTGAACACTTCTTAAGTAAGTTTTTTTGTTTTTGAGACGACAGAATTTCGCTCTTGTTGCCCAGGCTGGAATGCAATGGCGCGATCTTGGCTCACCACAACCTCTGCCTCCCAGGTTCAAGTGATTCTCGTGCCTCAGCCTCCCAAGTAGCTAGGATTACAGGCATGCGCCACTACGCCCGGCTAATTTTGTATTTTTAATAGAAACGGGATTTATCCATGTTGGTCAGGCTGATCTGGAACTCCTGACCTCAGGTGACCTGCCCGCCTTGGCCTCCCAAAGTGCTGGGATTACAGGCATAAGCCACCGCGCCCGGCCCACTTCTCTTGTTCTAACCGCTTGTATTGAGCCATTGAAACATTTTGAGCACTCATTTCAAAATGCAAATCTGATCATGTCAAACACCTCCAGTTTAAAAGCTTTTCCTTACAAAATATGCTGCCAAAAAACTCCTCCCAATCTTCATTCCAGCCATTCCAGGTTTAGAGATGCCATGCTATCTCTGGCTAGACCCACTCTTGCCCCATTCCCTCTGCCAGCTCATCCTCTCCCTGCCTAGCTACCGTTTGGCTCTTAGCTGAAGTGTCAACCCCCTTCCCACCCCAAGGGTCCTCCCTGACCAATCTTAGATTTTATAAACCCATCAGATTCTTGGAGCATCTGGTTGTCCTATTTGCACCCTCATCAGTTATATATGTACCTGTTTTCCCCACCAAGCATATGGCTCCATGATGATACTGTTTTGCTCTCTCTTCTCTACTGTGTAGCACACACACAGGCTGGCATTATCTGTTGAAGAAATGATGTGGAATAATTTGACCAAAACTGTACTATTGGATGATTAGTCTATAGTTTCTGAGATGAAACTGGTTTCCGCAGAATTTAAGTAAGAGTTAAAACTACTGAAAAAAGTCAAAGGTAACATGGCTGGAAACTGGAGCTGGAGTTTATTGTAAAGGAGGAATTGATGCACAGGAGATAGCAACTGTTTGAGAAAATGAAAACAGGGTGAGAAAAGCAAATAATTCACTAAAGATGGCTTCATGGTTAAATGTTTAATATCTCCAAAATAGGAAATATGGGAGTGCTATTAAAAAGTCAAAAATGAGGCCAGGCACCATGGCGCATGCCTATAATCCCAGCACTTTGGGAGGCCAAGGCAGGACAATTGCTTGAGCTCAGGAGTTTGAGACCAGCCTGGGCACCAGAGCAAGATCCTGTCTCTATAAAATTAAAAAAATCAGATGGGCGGAGTGGCCTCTGCCTGTAGTCCCAGCTACTTGGAAGGCTGAGGTGTAAAGATCACTTGAGCCCAGGAGGTTGAGGCTGCAGTGAGCCAAGATCATGCCACTGCACTCCAGGCTGGGCAACAAAGTGAGACTGTCTCCAAAAAAAAAAGTAAAAAATGAGTGGACCTGAATAGACACATGATAAATGTCTCTTCCTCTCACTTTCCCCATGCTGTTTTCACTTCTCTCTATCAGCTATCATTCCTGCGTTACTATACAAATGTTAAGTTTATGTATGTGAACTCAACAATGTAACATCCCGAAGTCTAGCATGGACTTTGATGTGAATCTTGGCTCCATTAAGTAGCTGTGCAACTAGGTAACTCAGTTAATCCTTTATGCATCTCAATTTTTTCGTCAAATTACTAGAATTGGTTTTACAAATGAAATGTGGTAATACATATGAAATGTTTGACAGAATGCCTAGCACATACTAAAAGCTTAATATGGTAATATTTACCGTACTATTCCTTTTAGAATACTGGGGTAAGATTAAACCTGACAAGACATCAAGAATCTAAGAATTCCTTATACACAGTAGGCATGCATTGTTTGATGAACAACTGAATGTTCAATAAGACCGATGAACAGGCCACTGGCTCATGCCTGTAATCCCAGCACTTTGGGAGGCTGAGGCAGGTGGACTGCTTGAATCCAGGAGTTTGAGACCAGCCTGGGCAACACAGCAAAACCCCATCTCTACAAAAAATACAAAAATTAGTCGGGCGTGGTGGTGCACACCTGTAGTCCCAGCTACTCAGGAGGCTGAGGTGGGAGGACTGCTTGAGCCTGGGAGGTTGAGGCTGCAGTGAGCAGTGATTGTGCCACTGCACTCTTGCCTGGGCAACAAAGTGAGACTCTTGTCTCAAAAAAAAAAAAAAAAAAAAAAATTGTTCAGCGATTAAGTCACAAAGAAGGGTGTTCATTAAAGCGTTGTAATAGCCAAAACCTGCACATAACTTAAATGGCCACCAATAGAGGAACATGATGTAGCCATTATAAAGAACATGGCACATTTATATGTACTGACATTAGAATATATCTTCAATTTATTAAGGGAACTAGAGATGCAGAACAATTTACAAAATATAATTCTATGCTGGGAAAAATGATCTGTGCAACCTGCTTTCCTGCAACTTTACAAAACATTTTGTTGTTGAGACAGTATCTTGCTCTAACACCCAGGCTGGAGTGCAGTGGCACAATTTTGGCTCACTGCAACCTCTGCCTCCTGGGCTCAAGCAATTCTCCCACCTCAGCCTCCCAAGTATCTTGAGACCACAGGTATACACCACCACACCTGGCAAACTTCTTTATTTTTTGTAGAGACGGGGTCTTGCTATGTTACCCAGACTGGTTTCCAACTCCTGAGCTCAAGCAGTCCTCCTGGCTTGGCCTCCCAAAGTGCTGGGATTACAGGCAGGAACCACCCTGCTGCCAAGTTAAAAAAAATTTTGTAAACGGATTAAAGAGTTTGGAAATATATACAAACCTCTGTAGTGGTTCTCTGGATAGAAAAATCAGCTTAAGAAAATGAAGTTTCACAGTATATGTAATTCAATTTTTAGAAAGTATGCATCATGTATGTTTAATTACATTTAAAAGATTTTTTATGATAAAATATTCTAGAATCCCAAGAAAATCTGAAATTGGTAGAGACTGTTTATACGTCTTATTTATATTTTACTAATTTATATTCATAAAAGTAACTTAGGCCAGGCACAGTGGCTCATGCCTGTAATCCCAGCACTTTGGGAGGCTGAGGCGGGCGGATCACGAGTTCAGGAGATCGAGACCATCCTAACACGGTGAAATCCCGTCTCTACTAAAAACACAAAACATTAGCCGGGTGCGGTGGCAGGCGCTTGTAGTCCCAGCTACTTGGGGGCTAAGGCAGGAGAATGGAGTGAACCCGGGAGGTGGAGCTTGCAGTGAGCCGAGATAGCGCCACTGCAGTCCGGCCTGGGCGACAGAGCGAGACTCCGTCTCAAAGAAAAAAGGCAACTTAATATCCAACAGTGGAGGATTCTTTTACTGGTACAGTCACGTTATAGACTACTATACAGCCACTGGGCCAGGTGTGGTGGCTCACACCTGTAAATCAAGCACTTTGGGAGGCTGGGCAGGCAGATCACTTGAGGTCAGGAATTCGAGACCAACATGGTGAAACCTCGTCTCCACTAAAAATACAAAAATTAGCCAGGCGTGGTGTCAGGTGCCTGTAATCCCAGCTACTCAAGAGGCCAAGGCAGGAGAATTGCTTGAACCCGGAAGGTGGAGGGTGCAGTGAGCTGAGATGGCGCCACTGCATTCCAGCCTGGGCAACAGAGCGAGACTCCATCTCAAAAAAAGAAAAAAAAAGAGAATATTATACAGCCAGTATAAATCATGCTGTAATTTTTACTAAAATGGAAAGTTCTCAGTACGTCAAGTGAAAATGAAAGGTTACAACATATTATGTGCAGTTTGCTTGGCATTAGTTATTACCTTTGGTAGGATTACAGGTGATTTTTCTCCTTTTTCAGTCTCTTCTTTTACACATTTACTAAAGTTTTTCTAATTTCTTACAATAATTATGTAATCAGGGGAAAATGCCATTAAAATATATGCTTATAGCTAACTCTAAGCTTGCTTTAGAGCTTGGGTATTACGTAACCATGATGCGAATGACTGGTACAAATCCAAGTAACACTTCAATACGTTTGTAAGGGATTATAATTGAAAAGTCACCATTCCCCTGGAACCTTAATAATAAAATGTTAAAGACATTAGTTTATCAAAAGAATTTATTAGAAAATATTACACACTACATACATATTTATTTAAGAGTATAATTTCAGTAGACAGCACTCCAACTTCATAATACAAACAATATCTCATGGACCCTGGGGCAATCACTGTGCTTCTGAAGCTACATCTTTTGGATGGAACATTCCAGCAGTACACACTGTGGCCATTTAAAGGAAGGTAAGAGAAAAAAATGTGATAATTACCAAAACAAATTTTAAAAAGCACAAAACTTTTGGAATGTTAATGGATAACTACTATTAGTCTCAAAATTCTAGGCATTTCTATAAAACATTGGTCAATGTGACTAGTAAGTTAACGGGACCAAGGTTTCAAAGATCAATACTGAACCTTGATAAATAATAAGAGGAAATGTAACTCCACAAAATGTTTCTGATTAAGTTTGTGCCCATGCAAAATTAACATAAATTTCTTAACTCAAGAATGAGGAATATTAAAGCAATGTATTTTTTCAACATAAAGCATGCATTTTCTAATACATTCTTAAACATTTCAAAATTTTAAAAGTTCGAATTCTAATCAAGTAGCTATTAATGCAGTCTAACCAGTGCCCCAAATCAGACATGGAACACACACTTGTTACTGTCACGGAAATAATTCATGGGAGTGCTACTAAAGATATATGAGACTTCAACTCTTGACCACATCACTTTTTCTCCAAAACTTTAGAACTTGTTTGCAAAAGCTAAATGGTATAAAACACATTTTAAAATGTCACCCAATTCTCAAATGTCACTGAAAGAAAATGCAGGAAAAGTATGTATTGTGTGATTAATCAGCTTAGGCTTAACTCAAAATACTTTCAATGTTCACAAAATTGTTTCTAGAGTTCTAATCTAAAACAACTAAGGAGGTGTGCCTTGATATTCTGAAACACTGTCTTAATACTTTATTAGAAGAAATATGCTTGAAATTTCTTTACCATAATCTAAACGCAAACTTTAAAAATATATACCAGTAGAATACCATATTACAAATGCCCAGAAATGTAGAATAAAGGTCAAAAACTGCTTGGAAATATTTTTATGATTACACTCATAACAACAAAGCTTATGAACTAGCACAATCATTATGGGACCAACATTTCAAAATATTTTGCCTATCAAAGCTAGCACCAGGAAAAGTATTATGCACATAAAATTGAGAAACAGATAATCTTTACTTTAGAAAAGCACAGTTCTACAGAGTATTGCTCTGGCTAAATAGTTTAGCTAGTAAAAAGGTCAGTTTATCTCACTGAGGCATGTATCTCCTTGGATCTATTAACTTATCTGAAGAACTTTCCAGGTACTTGGTATGTACTGAAAATTCTTACTGGAATCAGTTTATCATGGAGAAAACCTACTGTTCTTTCAAGATGCCAGTTAAAATAATGGCACAATAAACATTTTAAACTTACCTTTTATAAAAACTGAGATATTCTAGTATTAAAAAGAGAAAAAAAAAAAAACCCAAATCCCTAATCCCTGAAAGGCTAACCAGGACTCCATTATTTAAATTTCCCCTCTGTTTCTAAAACACAGGTTTTACTGTCTAGAATTTTGCAACATGGCTAATGGCTACCACCTGGTCACCAAATTAACACTTCATTCATTGTAAAGCATTTGGGGATTTTCAAGTGTGAAAATATTTCATCAGTGATTAGATAAACAACAACTTTACGCCAGTGCCATGAGTCTTGTAATTCTTAGCCCCAAGGAAGGGAGGATAACAGCCTAACAGCAATTCTCGA
The DNA here is from genome assembly GCF_000001405.40 of Homo sapiens. NCBI lineage: Eukaryota > Metazoa > Chordata > Mammalia > Primates > Hominidae > Homo > Homo sapiens. The sequence continues at coordinate 45,920,903 of NC_000012.12, forward strand.
ATTGGCACAAATAATTTATCGTCTGCAACGGGTAGAAGAAGATACTATGAAAGAACATAATTTCTACAAAGTCAACACTTTTTTTTTTCTTTTTTTTGAGACGGAGATTTGCTCCTGTTGCCCAGGCTGGAGTGCAATGGCATGGTCTCGGCTCACTGCAATCCCCGCCTCCCGGGTTCAACTGATTCTCCTGCCTCAGCCTCTCGCATAGCTGGGATTACAGGCGCCCACCACCACGCCTGGCTAATTTTTGTATTTTTAGTAGAGACGGGATTTCACCATGTTGGCCAGGCTGGTCTCGAACTCCTGACCTCAGGTGATCCGCCACCTCGGCCTCCCAAAGTGCTGGGATTACAGGCGTGAGCCATCATGCCCGGCCGAAAGTCAACAATTTTTCCAAATCTTTTTCCTCAAAGTCTTCAACAAAGACTTTGAACTGCCAAAGTTGTAATCTAGTAAGTCAAACTGCTTATCTCAATTAGGGGTAAACAAAGGCACAAAAGAAAAACAAGCAGCATAACCTTTATTTGGTCATACAATAGGTGAAGAGTGTCTCAATGTTTTGAACACTAAATTTTACTCGTGATAATTTTTTTTCTATCTAGGCAATTTATTCAGATATGTGCTTTAAAAATACACATTAGGAACTTTGCAACTGATATGTTCTATTTAATATTAGAAACATTTTTCATGGTAATACATTATTTAACTTTCTATAATTAGAGGGAAAAAATCATAAAGATCATACTTTACATTTTAACCTGACAGAATAAATGCATTATATATATCTCTTTGAAAACCAGTGCACTTAGAAGTTTCTAATTTATGCACTCCATTGCCCTAATCAAAAAGCTATACATTTTCCAGTATCCACACTATAACACAGTCCTAGTAAAGATGCACATTCCTTTAAACCCTTTACTTTCCCTTGAATTTTGTGGGGGAGGGTGGAGGGGAAGGAAGGATACAGAAGTTGCAGTGCAGACCTATATTTATTTAGAACAAAACATCATATCCTATGTTAAAAAAATAATTTTATCAAAACCAAATTTCAATCACAGTTATGTATGATTTTCAGTTAATGGTACATGTTGAAATTGCACTTTGCAGATATCCTGATAATGTCCTTGACAGCGTTCCCCATTTCAGCCTATGTTTTTTTCAGTAGACACAGGTTCTTCCAGAGTTTTCTTTTGGCTCCCCTTCCGTGAATATTTGTATTTGTCTACATAGGCTTTAACCAGATTTGCCACTTTAGTAGAATTTACTTCTCCACTCTTACTATGACAAACCTAAGAAAAAAGGGGTGGGGGGTAAACTTTTTTCATGCTTAAAGGGATTAAAGCCAAAATAGAAAGCTTTGTGAAAAACAACCCCAAAGAGATAACCAGACTTATTTTCATGTTTCATTATCTCACACAAACTAATCAAAAGGCAAAAAAGTAGACAGGAATTAGTAGGAGCTAGCTTTTATTATTTTAATTAAACTTCAGCATTCATTTATTAAAACAGAGGTGGTTCAAAACAACGTGCACATACTCCACTAAAGCCATAACTTACTTTATCTACTGCTTTCCGTACAATTTCTTTATATTCTTCCTTGGTGATATCTTTATTTTGGTAAAATGGCTTGATGGCCAATTTTACCTCTTGTGCTGCTTTTTCTTGAATTTGCAATTTCTGATGAGAAGAAAATGTATAATTTATTATTTGCCAGTCATACTGCTCTCACAAAATCCCAAACAAGAAATTGAAAATACTTCATATTTACAATAAGAGACTCTCCAACTATTAACGTGACAAATATAAAACAGTTTATTTACTAAAACATATCAAACATTTCTAAAAACAATTATAAAATATTACCAGTAATTTACTGGACATCAACACATCTAGAGAGAATCCTTCAAATAATAATGGCATTTAGACAGCCAATAAGAAATTCCCTTCACCACTCATACAATAAAAAGCTGATATTTTTTCTCCTTTATCATATACAGAATTATGAAGGTTGCTCTCAACCTTGAACTTGCCTTGTCTGTCTTCGAGCTATCTGCGCTGGCTTCCACTGCAACACTTACTTTGCTTTCTGCCAATTTTACAGCAGCATTAGAGGCTTTGCTGTGACTTGATGACGAAGTATTACCAGAACTTGGTCCCTGAACCATTCCCGTATTTCCTGGGGCTGCTGTCGGAGCAGGCAAAACTGGTGTACTCATGTTATTACTTACATGAGAAGAACTAGGAATACCCTGTTTTAAAGAGTTATCATCAGTTAATGAATTACTTGTACTCGATAGAAGTCTTTTAGTGATGCATTAGAAATAACATTAAAAAACACAAAGCAAACCAACCTTAGTACTAAAGAAAAATGCATATTTCAGGTAATTATATCTAAAGGGCCCTTTAAAGAAAAATGAGTAACATTCTTAAACGGGGCCTTATTTAGATATGTCAAGATGACTTTTAAATTATATATATGTATTGTAACATTTTGACAGCAATACTAAACACAAGGAGGAGAATAGCATTTAAAGAATTATATCTTTCCTGCAAGGATCTTTAGGAATATTAACAAATATTAAAGTGCCCTCACTTTAAAGCCTGGAAAAAATAAGGCAGTAAAGTCAAATGGCTTGTAGTAAGTTGACAGGAGAAAAAAGGCTTGCAGTAAGTTGACAGGAGAAAAAGATTAAGATCCCAAATACTAAAATCCAATTTCCCTATTCCTTCAACTCTATCTTACTGTCAGGATTCTATTTATTTTATTTTATTTTAATTAATTATTTATTTATTTAGAGACGAAGTCTCACTCTGTCTCCCAGGCTGGAGTGCAGTGGCGCGATCTTGGCTCACTGCAATCTCCGACTACCAGGTTCAAGTGATTCTTGAGCCTCAGCCTCCGAGTAGCTGGGATTACAGGAATGCATCACCGCGCCTGGCTAATTTTTGTATTTTTTTTTTTCTAGACAGAGTCTTGCTCTGTCACCCAGGCTGGAGTGCAGTGGTGCAATCTCGGCTCACTGCAACCTCCGCCTCCTGGGTTCAAGCAATTCTCCTGCCTCAACCTCCTTAGTAGCTGGGATTACAGGCGCTTGCCACCACACCCGGCTAATTTTTGTATTTTTAGTAGAGGCAGGGTTTCACCATGTTGGCCAGGCTGATCCTGACCTCGTGATTCACCCACCTGGGCCTCACAAGGTGCTGGGATAACAGGCGTGAGCCACCATGCCCGGCCTAGGATTCTAAAATTTTTAAAAGGCAGTCATAAAATTATAAGCAACAAATTGTTTGCAAATTATTCAAATTTTCTATGTCTCACAGAGGCACTTCTCCTTTCTTTTTAGCATGATAAATTCATGAAAATGAAACACAGATGGTAATGGATAATAAACAGCTTTATCCAGTGTTTGTCTGAACAAGACAATAAAAGCTTCATCACAGTACTTAATCACTAGTTCCCACCGTCCCCATATACCCCCTAAACAGTGCAAAACAGGGGAAAAATGTAAAGCACCCACCACTCGATTCTAATTTGGCTTATAATTTGGTTTACTTAATATGAATAAAAAAATCCTGTTCAGATATAAGTAACAGCATATATGTAGCTTGGATTTGGTAATAAGTATTTAATTAATTTTCTAATTTGGGAGTTGGGGGGTTTTGAGAAGGATAGTGAAAGAGGGATTATGAAGGTTTACCATAACTGAAATCAAATAAACAATTGTTTTTGAATGCCAGGATGCCTTTTTTTGAACATCTGTCATGAACAGCTAAATGTTTACAATGGCTATATTGATTAAACTTGAGTTGCTAAAAACATACCTGCAATTGCTTTCCATCTGGTTGTGAAGCAATGTAGTTGACTTGTTGGGATGGTGGGGGAGGGGGTGGTGGTGGTGGTAGTCCCTGAGATACACTGGTAGGAGTGGCTACCTGCATGAGGGGCACTCCTGTGTGGAGATGCAAGGGTAGCTGAGGATGAATGTTAAATGGATTGCGTTGGATGTTCATCAAAGGAGCATGAACACCCACTGGATATGGGAAGATATTCATAGGCTGGTGTTGTGCATTCATTTGTTGCTGCATTACATTCATTTGCGGTTGCATCATATTTATAGGTAGCTGAGAACCATCAACTTGCTGGTTTGTTTGGTCTTTTAGGCTAGAATCTATCAAAAGAAAAAAAGCTTGTGAAAAAAATCATGTTATAAATCTCTTTAGACAGAGAAACAAAGAACCACTGGTTACAGTAAAATTAAATAGCAATTAATAGGCTCAGTATACCAATACCAATCTCCAATTGCTTAATTTAATCCTGTCATTTCTAAATAATGTGGACTGACTTTCTAATGAAAGAAAACATTTGGCGAGGCACGGTGGCTCAAGCCTGTAATCCCAGCACTTTGGGAGGCCAAGGCGGGCAGATCACCTGAGGTCAGGTGTTCGAGAGCAGCCTGGCCAACATGGTGAAACCCCGTCTCTACTAAAAAAATACAAAAATTAGCCAGGCGTGGTGGTGAGCGCCTGTAATCCCAGCTAGTCAGGAGGCTGGAGAATTGCTTGAACCCAGGAGGTGGAGGTTGCAGTGAGCAAAGATCATGCCATTGCACTCCAGCCTGGGCAACAACAGAGAAACTCCATCTCAAAAAACAAAACGAACATTCACCTGAAAATATTTTTAAGAATAAGTTCATGCAAAACATACATCAACAATCAGTAGCTCAAGAAACTGACTAGTTAAAAAAAAAAATCACATAAAATTTAACTACTAAATTATAAGGTTATTCAATTTTTACATCTTCAACAGCCTTTATCTTGCAATGTTCTTAACAAGAAAAAAAACAAGGAAATATAAATCTTTACTATTAAAACAATGGCTTATTTTATTTGTATGAGAACAATTATCAAAAAAATTAAAAGTGTACATATCTGAAATAAACAAATTAGAGGTTAAATCCTGCATAGGAATATCCCAAACTCTTCTATTGTAGCAAACAGTGCTGAAAATATTTAAGTCTTTGGCAAGGTTTGGAGCAGAGGTAGCATTAATAATATACTTATGTAGATAAACGTACGTGTATATATATTTATATAATGCTAAGTGACTTGTAAACAACTAAGGTTCAGCTTATTATAAAAACTACAAATAAGGATCATTTCAACTCATACAAATAACATATTAAATTTATAATTCTTCAAATAAAACAGTATCAATAAACCAACAAGAATACATTACCCTGTCCAGATGTTTCCTCCTCTTGTTTCATCCATCCAGACTGTGGACCTGAAGAATTTCTGCCTCGTCGTGAGTAGTAGTTTTGTACATCTGCTGGCAAAGTCTTTCTCACGGCCCAGCTGGATGCAGATGTCCATCCAGATCTATCTGCTGGTGTATCAAATGAGAACTCCTGTTCACTTTTTCGCTTATAGGATTGCTGTTCCACAAACTTGAAAGATTCACTCCCTGAACTGTTTGAATTCCCTGAGAGGGGTTTTCGATTTTGCCACCGATTTTCATTCTGATCTTTATAGGCAAAACTACTTCTGTAAGTGCCTCTGCCACGGTTGCCTCTGCCTCTACCACGGTTAGATACCCAACCAGAACCAAAGTTTTTATTCCAAGAATTTCCTGAATTTTCATTTCTATTTTCTTCCCAATGAGACTCTTTCAACTTTTCTGGATTTCTGGTTCTTGGATCAGGCCCAGAGTTTATTTTTTCTGTTATCCAATTGGGACAGTCATTTCTATGTTTGTCAGCAGAATTTGGATCATCAGCATCTAGATGGATGTCATTTTTTTCTTTTCTTGTATTTTCATTCTGTTTCTCTGGGTCATTCTTTCTGTACCGATCATTTCCTCGTGGACATCTCCAACCATCATTTGCCCATCTTCCCTTCCACCGGGGAGAGTAACTATCTCTGTCAATTCTACCAAATGATGAACTCTTACTTTTTGTTCTACATCTTGAGGGGGACCTAGAATGAGATCTGGACCTAGACCACTTTCTGGTTCTCCTTTCTCTCTCTCTCCTCTGCCCATCTCTATCACTTTCTCGTTCTCTGCTCTGGGACCTGGATTTTTCTCCTGGGGAAGAATCTTTCACTCTTGGCTGAGATCTTTTGTTCTCTCTAGAAGTTTCTCTTCTTGGGGACAGTGATTCAGATCTTCTGCTTTCCCTAGTAGTATCCCTTTTTGGAGACCGAGACTGAGATTGCCTCCTTTCTCTTGCAATATCCTTTTTTGGGGACTGAGAACGGGATTTTTTCCGGCCTCTGGCTGACTCATTCTTAGGAGATGGTGATTGAGACTTCCTGCTTTCTTTCCCAGTTTCTCTTCTGGGAGATGGAGACTGGGGCCGCTTCTTTTCTTGTGGAGTGTCTTTGTTGGGTGACCAAGTTGTAGATGGAGAATGAAATCTAGATCTTCGAGTACGAGGCTTTTTGGTTTTATCTATGGTATCTTTTGGGCTTTCAGATGGTTGAGAAACAGTTTCAACCTTTTCATCCGCAAGATCAGAAGACGGCATATTATTTTCAGAACAGTGTGTCACAGAATTTTCATTCATTTGTTTAAGATCAGCATTTACAGATGGTTCAACTTCAGATTCATTTTGGTCACTGCAAAATGAATCACACTCCATAGGTATCATTTCATTGTTGTCCTCACTAAAATGCTTCTGAATCTGTTCAATGTGTGTTTTAGGCAACTCTGTAGATCTAGGATGTTCGGTCAGCGATTCATTCTTTTCTTCTAAAGATTTTTCCAATTTGGTGTTCAGAAGATTATTTTTTAGTAAGTTATTTTCAGAGTCTTGAATATTATTGAAATCTTCATTCCCAAAAGTATCACATGTTGCAATTATTTCTACATCTTCAGTTTCAACATGCCCAAGCAATTGAACCTCTGGGCTCTTAACAGATTGTCTGTCCACTGTCTGTATAATTTCACCCTCAGAAGATTCTAACTTGGGGCTCTCTATAAGCTCCTCTGTTTTTAGTGTAAAATCTTTATGTTCAGTAATTTCTACTAGGGAACTCTCTGTTATTTTTTCTTCATTAACCACTGACTCTACATTCTCAGATAAGTCACTTAGGGGACAAGATACAGGTTGGTACACTTTGCTTTCAGATGTTAAACATGTAGGAAAATCATTTGGAAGATGAACTGTACATACATCTGTCTTTACCTCTGATTGTGAAAGTCCAGATATCTGGTCTTGCTTTTCCAATGGATCACCTCCTTTTTCAAGAATATTTTCAGAAATCTCACTTTCCAAACACAAAACATTAGCCTCTATACCTGTATTCTCGAGTTTTTTAACTTCCCCTTCCTCACCAACTAGCACAGGAAGATCTTGAGCACAAGACTCAGAAGATGAAGATCCTACTCTTTCCTCTGTATCATAATTTGCAGTATGCTTCTCACTTTCTTCTATTTGCTCATTGCAACTTTTCAAGCAATTAGCAGACTGGTTTTCTACATGAGTCTGCACAGTACAAATGTTACTACTGTCTACATCTGGTTGGTGCTCTTTTTCTAACACAGGTGATGTGTCAGATTCTGCTGTTTCTTCATCTACTGAATCATTGGAAGATGATTTTTCAGGGGCAGCTACAGAGCTCCGAAGTTTCTTTTTCAGTAAAGGTGGTTTTCTTCCTCTTCTTACAGACTTCCGTTTTGGAGCCTGTCTTGTTTGCTTTTCTGACTCAGCTGAAGAGGGAACACTTAAAGATGGATTACTGTTACCTGGGGCATCACACCCAGAATTGTCTGATATTGGGGATCTCTGAGACTGACTGGCTGTTTCAGCTCTTGTGTTACGTGTAGACCTCCTTGTAGGAGTTGTCATTGCAGGTTTTCGTCTTGATCCTCTGGTATTTGATGTACCAGAAGTTTGCTTCTTTTCTTCCCCTTCTTGAGTATGTGCTAATGCATATCCCTTGCAAGAAGTACCTAATAATATTTAAAAAAAAAAAAAAAGTAAAAAATATGTTTTAAGAAATAGTAATTTGGCTTTAGCTAATTTTAGCATAAAATAGTCTGCAACAGAGTGAAACTAAATACTTATAAATAAAACTATTAATAAATGCATAGCTACTAACATCTGAGTAATATGACTTATTCATCAACTTTCTTAATGACACTGAAATAAGTTATAACTAGATTTGGTCCAAATGGGCAATTTTATAGAGAAAAAAAAAAAGGAAAATAACTTTTGGTCTTGTAACTGCTACTTGCTTAATTTTTTTTTTTTTTGGAGACAGGGTCTCACTCTGTCACCCAGGCTGGAGTGCAATGGCGTGATCACTGGAGCAATCATCGCGCACAGAAGCCTCAACCTCCCAGGCTCAAGCGATCCTCCCACCTCAGCCTCCCAGGTAGCTGGGACTACAGGCATGCACTACCATGCCCAGCTAATTTTTGTATTTTTAATAGAGACAGGGTTTTGCCATGTTGCCCAAGCTGGTCTCAAACTCCTGAGTTCAAGTGATCTGCCTGCCTCGGCCTCCCAAACTGCTGGGAATACAGGCGTGAGCTACTGTGCCCGGCCATGATCTGGGATTATCTAAGCAAAAGGAGAGAGAAAATGGTCAAGTTATCCATGAATTAATAAAGACTCAAACTATTTATTAATAATTAATTAACAGATGTTACTTCTAAAGATCTATGGTTTGGATATGAAAGCCTGAAACAGAAAGGAGACTTCTAATCAGTTCCTCAAAGCCTCCAAGTTGTAATTTCAAAAACTACAACAGAGTTTCTAGTTGGAATATTTTTTATTTTTAAAACTGACTAACAGATAAAACTGTGTTTCTCATGTACAACATGATGTTTTGAAGTACATATACATTGTGGAATGACCAAATCTAGCTACTTAATATATGCACTACCTCACATAGTTATAATTTGTTTAGTGAGAACACTTTACGTCCACTCTCTAGCAATTTTCAAAAATACAATATAGTCGACCCTTTAACAACACAGGGATTAGGAGCACCAACCCCCAACACAGTCAAAAATTGAAACAGTTTTTACTCCCCAAAACTTAACTGTTATTCACCAGACTCCTTACTGATAACAGTGAATTAATATATTTTTTATGTTATGTGTTACATACTGTATTCTTACAATAAAAGAAGCTAAAGAAAAGGTTATTACAAAAATCATAAGAGAAAATACATTATAATGCTGTACTGTATTTATTGATACCCTAAGTTTATATCATTTGTTTACAAGATGAATCATCTGTCTGAAATGGCAGGCAACTGCAGCTATAGATCTCAATCTGTTCCTATCAAGGAATTAAACTTCTTCTTATAAAGCCATAATTTTGCTTCTTGGGAGCACTTCCTACATCACTAATGGCACTTATGTGGGTCCCAAAGGTGTTACTCAAGGTTTACAGTATTGCACTAAACACTATGAAAAATATGCATGCACTGCAAGAGATCACTTTTTACTGTGATATGCAATCTATTAGAAAGACAAATGCTCACATGGAGATGATTACATTAAACCAGGTTTTGCGTTGTGTTTTGTTTTTTTTTTGTTTTTTTTTTTTTTTGAGACAGGCTGTTGTTCTGTTGCACAGGCTGGAGTGCAGTGGTGCAATCATGGCTCATTGTAGCCTCAACCTCCCAGACATTCACAACACTTGAGTACACCAGAATAGCAACAGGTGGCGGCCACAAAAATTGTTACACTGGTAAATACGTACTATATTTAATTTTACACAGCTATGATTTAATACTGTATCTTTACAGCTGTTTACATTTCTTATGACTGCAAATGGTGGAACCATGTGGTTTGAGTGTGTATATGTTTTGATAAATTTTAACTTGTTATCATAGATTTGTATATATTTTATGGTAGTAAATGATGAAATAGACTAGTACCTACATATATTTTATACATTAATGACATACCTTTTTCTTAATTTTTTTCACTATTTATAGGTTATGCGATTTTTCTGTTTTTTCAGTGTTGCAAATCTCCAAACATTTTCCGATATATTTATTTTTTAAAATTCATGTATAATGTCGCCACCCAGTTAAAACCTATGTTGTTCAAGGGTCAACTGTATTATTATAGTCATCACGTTTCACAATTGATCTTTAGAACTTATTCTATCCAGCTGAAACTGTATCCTCTGACCAACAACCTCCACCCCACCACACCTACCCCACCCCCTAATCTACAATCTAGTTCTACGAGATCAACTTTTTTAGATTCCACATATAAGTGAGATCATGTGGTTATGTGCCTTTCTGTGCCTGCCTTATTCACTTAGCCTAATGTCCTCCAGGTTCATCCACGTTGGCACAAACAAGATTTCCTTCTTTTTGTGGCAGAATAATATTCCATTGTGTGTGTATATAGATATATGGAGAGACTATGTATCTATCTATCTATATATACATACACTCTAGTTGAAGCAATTCTAAAGTTAAGTCATTGTCCAAATATTTATAGACGTATTTACAAGTTACTATGCCTTACTTTACAGCTTTTCTAAGTCATCAAACACACATTTTTATGAAACTGGAAGAAACTAATAATAATAATTTTTAAAATAGAAAATGATTTCACAAACTTTACCAAAATGTTCGAAAGATATGGTACTTGTTGGAAAAATAGTTCTTGGCAACACAGAAGAAATGAGAGGAAGGACTTCTGTTTCAACATTCCAGGGTATAAAACCAATTCTGAAAACATAATAAAGACATTTTTGTTTAAATGGTTTAAAAAATTAAACCACCAATTTAAAAGTATTAATTCTCTAAATCAGGTTAGCAATATTAAAATACAGTGCTTAAATGTTTTTTGCCCAAATAGCTAAAAATGTAAATTCAAGGTTACTCCTTGTCTAAAGATAGCTACCAATTGGCTAAAATTCAGAAAAAAACCTTTAAAAGTATGTTTTTCTGATAAATTCATGGCAAAGAAAAGATGAAAGCAACTTAACACAGATGTTTCTCTTTGAAATAATTTATGTAGTATTTTGTCAAGAATTTTTCCAGCTTTCATCATGTTCTTCACTACTCTAAAAAAATAAAATCAACTTTGAGGTGTAATTCAACATAAAATGCAGACTTTAAGCGTACATTTGCTAACTTTTTACCAAAGTGTGTGCATATATATATATATATGTCTGTGTTAACCACCACCCCAATCAAGAAAGAGAACATTTCTGCCCCCCTAGAAAGTGTCCTCACACTCCTTTGTATCCTTCTCCCTCCTTTCCAGGCAACCAAGGAACTGATTTATACCACTATGTTATATTCTAAAATTCCTCGACCTGGTGATGGCTCTTCAAAGTTCTCAGTGTCCCTAGAGACCTGTTAAGACCCCCTCCTTCAAATTTTCTCCATTCAAACCCAAACCACTTCTTGGCTTTCTTTTTCTTATTCATTTAGGTCTCCTAACAAAAGACTATCTGATTCAATATAAGGTAAGATTCTGGAGTAGGAGAAGCATGGGAAAAAAAATGTAACTTGTACATGTATAAAAATATGTAACTATAAGGAAGGGTTTCATAGTACATACATCTGGAATTCTTCATCTGACTTCTATTATGTTCTGCCATCATTCTTAGAGGGTGAATGCCCTATACAGAACTATATTATAGTGACATATAAAATAAAGTCATAATATGTTATAGGAATTAATATAAAACTCAGGCAGCGACCCTAATCTTTACTTAGGAGCTTGATTTAAGTATATATTATTTATCTAGCACCATCTTAGTAGCTTCAAGAATAAACTAAGAAATAAAAAACTAGATTACAGAAAGTCATGAGTGTCAGGGTAGAGTAGGCACTTGATCAAATAGTTATTTAGAAAAACATTTTTGAGGAGAGGAATATGGTAAAAGCGTGATTCAGCGGACAGCACGCAGGTAAGACTGGAATGGGAGAAGAGTAGAGGAATGATGACAGATGTATTACTAACAATAAATCTTAATATTCGGGTTCTCTCCCTTTTAAATAAATCTAGCATATACACAGCTATACTTGTTAAACAGATAAATTAAGGATTCTTTACTTTCTAAGGGGTCCTTTATATAGCAATCTTTATTGGGCATTTGAAACACCAAAGTTTAATTTGCACAAAACTTCCTTAGGAAAATAACAATTGAATAAGGTACCCTTGTACTTAAGTACTAATGCTATCTTGTTCATGTTAGCATGTAAACACCTGAGTAAATAATTTTTTATTTTTACCTTCCAATTCCAGGTAATGTATCAGGAAACCATGACAATTCCAGTTCATGTCTCTTCTGCCTAATCAATGCACTGATTTCACTGGCTTCTATAAATTCTGTACTAAAAGATAAATTTTAGACCTTCATCAGAATCTCACAATTTTAGGTTCAAAAAAACAATTAGGTTGTACAAAGAATAGCAGTCGTTTTTGTACCTGGCATTATGAATCACACTTACAAGCATGTGAGCTCTTTTCTATTTAAACACTTTCAAAATAAACTCATTCCTAAAATAAGTACAATTTTTATATTGCAAATCAGAGTTGTATTTATATGATTGTTAAAAATAACCCTTGAATTTCTATCTTAAGTGACAGAATTTTTTAAATAAAGTCAAGTCAGAGTAATATCCTCATTATTGAAAGGAAGAAATTCTAGGTGCAATAGTTTCCTACTTGAAACTAAGCCTAAGACAAAAGAAGAAAATAAAGTAGGGTAAGATGACTGCAACCAAAAATGGGTATAGTTCAGCTTTTCAAAAGCCTACTTAGACATAATTTTTTTCTTGGTACCTTGCCAAGTTCTAAAATTAAATCACACAATCGTATTCTGTGCTGCTGGCTCAACTAACTGTACGTGATTTTAAAACCTCAATTTAATCTTCAAATTCCATAAATATCAACTTAGTATCTACATGCCAGTCACTAGGATTCAAAGATGAATGGATCAGCTGTAAAAGGGTTCTTCTTTAGGTAACATCCCCACAAGCTAATAAATAAGCTACTTCTCAATCATATAAACAGCTTATATAGAACAACTTATTAATGAAAACAAAGCACACTGGCATAGGCAATCACTGCACAATAGAGAAGCTCCCAAAATTAACAGGTTTTCTCTTTGCTAGAGCTAGTTTACCTTCCCCCCCGCCCAAAAAAAAACTAAAGCAAAACAACCAGGTGGGCCTTTCAGTTTTTATTGGGCCCAGAGTTTAAATTTCTAGCAAAAGTTAATAATTATTAAACATCAAGTATAAACAGCATAAATTAAAAGTAGAAAATACTAACCAATAAGCTCTATAGGTAAAGGAAGATTCTCCAGAGTGGCTAACAGAAGAAAACATATTGGAGAAAAAATTTCTGAAGCACTGATTTGTACTCCAATTTGATCTCTGAGGCTAGAAAAGTAAAAAGTAGTTAGTGAAACAGCAAATAAATAACAGGTAAATAATAGTTATACTTAAATATTTTGATACACCTGAAGCACTGGTTATTTATGGACTAAATAACCCTAAAGTGTTATCATCTAAGAAAAAGATTTTTCTTGGTTTCAACAAACCTTATTTATCTTTATTGCTGCATTTTTCTTTCCTCCTGTTTCACTGTATAAAGAGTTTCCTGTACAAAGACATAAAAGGACTTGGTTACCTTGTATTAATTTTTATTAAAAAGGCTGTAAACCAGCATCGATACCAGCACATTGGCAAGGGTTGAAATACGTAGAAAAGCTGTATTTCAAATAATACACAATTTTTTACACAATTTTCCCAAATGCTGATTTCATCTTACCTTGTTAAGCTATTACTACAAGTAAAATATAAAAGGCCACAATACAGAAACTGGGTGAAGTATGTCAAACCTGCTATGTTTACAACATATGAGTTAAAATTCTAATCAACATTTTCTGCTACCTTATGCAAACTTAAAGTATCTTGTAACAAAAGGTATACACAAGAAGTCAAGCTATTTAATATCAATAATACACTTAACATTTCTTTTCCAGCTATCATCTAGAAAACAGGTAGCTATCTCAAGCAGGGGCTGACTAGGTGGCCTGGGGCCATCAGCTCTTGTTAACCATAAATTACCATTTAGCCACTGGCACCCACTTCAGGTATGTTCTTTCCTTCCAATTTTATACTAAGATGGAAAAGTAGATGTGCTGACTGAAACAGCTTTCTGTTACAACGTTGGTGGCTGCATTGCTTATGACTTGTCCACAGTGCATATGACAACTGCCTTTTAATTTTCCCCCTTGCTTGCCTCACAAAGGGCCTATTGACATTGTTCAAAATAAATCACACTAACTAGGAGGCTTGTTTCCTGCACTGCAAGATCATATGTATTTTGGTTTACTTCTGTTAGTTCAGTTGGTAATAGCCTACTTTCTACTTAATAGCATACTAATTTCCTTTTTAGTTATTATACAACAGCTGTTTGGTTTTGCACAAGTCCCTCTCAGAACTACTGTAACAAATGTAATTTCAATGTTAGTGGAAGACGAACAGGCTGAGTTCCGGAACTTACTGCCTTACCCCTTTGAAAATCTGTATCTAAAAGATGATACGCTGATTTTTTAAAATGGCTTAAGAGGCAAGAAGTAAAAATGTGTGGTAGGTACACAGATAACACTCTTAGAAATAACCATGTTCCTTCAGCTAGACATAGAATTGCTGTGCTATACCTACATAGTGTCTTTTATGCCCTAAGGATGCTGAGTTGTTTTGTTTCAGGTTGCATTCACTCAACACTTAACGAGTATGTAGTGTTTACATAGCATTCTTTCATTTGGAAACCTATCTCAGAAAGCCATCATTAGATAAAATGCTCTCTACTGAAAGAACTGTTAGTTTTCTCTGAGCAATGCTACATGTGAAAATCCAGTTCAAAAGCTGTTTCACATATTTCTGGGTAATTCTCAGGTAATTACTCAACAGCTTCAATGGCAATCTCTAAAGTATTCGATACTGGTGAATTTGTCTAAATTGTGGTTTCCTGAAGATCGTTTCACAAATCCACCCTACTTGTCTGTTTTTGGTGGGCAGTGATACGCCTTTTCATTTAATTTTTATCAAAGTAATGCATGTACATACTTTAAGATGTCAAACAGTACTTCCAAACTTATAAAGAAAAATTATGGAAATACCCACTCTTGATTTCTGCTTCCCCAAAGCACTCATCAAATCCTTTGGCTGTTTCTTCTAACATTTACTTATTACTAAATAACACCCTTATACTACTCTATGTGTGGTTTTTTTTGTTTTTTTTTTTTGAAACAGAATCTCGCTTTGTTGGCCAGGCTGGAGTGCAGTGCCACAATCTCGGCTGACTGCAACCTCTGCCTCCCAGGTTCAAGCAATTCTCCTGTCTCGGCCTCCTGAGCAGCTGGGACTACAGGCGCACACCACCACGCCCGGCTAATTTTGGTATTTTTAGTAGAGATGGGGTTTCACCATATTGGTGAGGCTGGTCTTGAACTCCTGACCTCAGGTGATCCACCCACTTCGGCCTCCCAAAGTGCTGGGATCACAGGCATGAGCCACCACGCCCAGCCAGCTTCATTCAGGTATTTTCCTAGGGTTAATAATGTCTTTGTTTTCTCTTTTCCTTTTCTTCCTTATTATCCATCATTAATTTAGCTAACTACAACAAAAGTATAAATCTGAGTTTAATACACTCAAACACAACAACTCATCCATAAGGTTTGTTCCCCACTCTCCTGGCAAAACTCTTTCTTTGTCCTGGTCCAATATGAACTGGTAACTCTCAAAGCTGCTGTTCAATAGTCATTTTGGGATTGTCCTTTGTCATTATCCCAATAATCCTCTTTGTCCTGTTTAATCTTTTCCTGAGTTGGAACTCATTTTCTGAATCTCACATTGTTCTTCCATTTACTATCTCATTTAGTGAAGTATATACATACATCCTCCAGCAGAAGTGGAAAAGGGTGGGAATTCTGAGTTAGTGCACGATGGATAGTTTGATAGGTTATAGAATTGTCTAGGTTAGTAATTATTTTCCCTAGAGTTTTCAAGGCATTGCTTCACTACTCCAACTATTGTTGATGACACTCTGTAACCCCAATCCTCTATGTGGTCTGTTTTTACTCTCTCTCTTGTCATCCTCAGACTTCTAGAACTTTATGAAGTATTTGGTATGATTTTTTTTTCATTTACTAAGTATTATATTATTTCTTCATATCTGGACACCTGTGCTCTACTATTACGGAAAAAATTTCCTTTGTATTACTTTTTTAAAAATAAATTTTTGCATTTTTCCTTCCTGAAATTTTATTATTCGATATTGAATCTCTTAAATGAATATCCTATCATCTCTTTTTTAGTCCTACTTTGAGACTTAAGAACTTATCTTCTACTCCTGTTGAATTTTTGTATTTTTGCTGTAATATTTTTAACTTCTGAAAGCTTTTTCTTAAATATTATTTTTCTTGTATCATTGATAAAATATCCCTTCTTTCAGGCTTTGAGGATATTAAGTTTTTTAAAGTTATTCCCTATTTTTCAGCATTGGGTCTGTCCCATCAGGTTGCTTTTGTCTTTGTTTTGATCTCTATTATGTTGATTTTCCTCAAACATCTGGAGATCCTTGATTGTTTGCTGGACACTAAAATATTGATTGAAAATGGTGTAGATGGGTGGTCAGAGCCTTTCAGCTAATGTGTTTCACTGTAGGGTGATCAAGCAGACATCTGGTTACTTCATTGGGAGACTCTCAAATGACATTATCTTTAAGTCTTTTCTTTTGGGCAAGTCAGTTTTCCAAAAGATGTCCCTTATTTCCTACTTTGGAAAATTATAATAATCAAGACTGCCAGTGCTTTGAAAAATGCTCTTAGGTAGAGGACTAGAAGCCTCATCATTTGACTTAATTTCCCTCTCTGTTGTTTCCTGTACCATCATTTATGCTAAAGTTTAAATCTGGTTCAAATACTCATTTTAGAGTGTAAATCTCCAGTCTTTCATTGGGTACTCCCCTTCCTCTACCCACAGCCAGGAATCTTCAGGATCTAAAGATTTTTAACCAATTCTGTTTTCCAAAACCACCCCATATCTCTGCCTTCACAGATAATGGAGGCCTCCAAACTCAACTTGCTAAGGTTTGATGGTATGTGTACTGTCTTGAGATTCTTAACTCCATTCTTCCCATGAAATGTCTATGTATCAGCTTTCTGCTAAGACAATTTACCATCCCCCTCATACTGTTTTACTTTCTATTTTGTGGACACTTATGTGCTGTCCCCCTCTCTCCAGCTTTCTTGTCTTTGTGGCTTAAACTTTGTGGCTTAAAACTCTTCTTTCTGGCCAGGCACAGTGGCTCACAACTGTAATCCCAGCACTCTGGGAGGCCGAGGTTGGCGGATCACCTGAGGTCAGGAGTTCGAGACCAGCCTGGCCAACATGGTGAAACCCTGCTCTACTAAAAATACCAAAATTAGCCGGGCATGATGGCGGGCACCTGTAATCCCAGCTACTCAGGAGGCTAAGGCAGTAGAATCACTTGAACCTGGGAGGCGGAGGTTGCAGTAAGCTGAGATTGTGTCACTGTACTCCAGCCTGGGTGACAAGAGCGAGACTGCATCTCAAAAAAACAAACAAACAAACAAACAAAAAACACACTTTTCTTTCATTCCTTTATTGTCATTTTAGTAGAGATTTGGGATGAGAGGGATCACAGCATTAAACAAGTACTCAATCTGCTATGCTTAACTAGAACCTTGTTTTATTTATGTTAATTCAGCATATCCCTAAACATGTTTCATGAAACACTAATCCGAAAGGATGTTTCATGAAAACATCCTTTTGTACGATACAAACAAGTATAATAAAGGCTCTGAGCTTAGAACCCAGTACTTGGCAGGCATCCAATTAAAGTCTGACTAATTGATTCCAAAGTTTAATAAAGACATAATTAGATGGATCTAGTATGTACTTAAAGAAGTACTACATTAAGAAATGCCTGAAAGGGAGATCCTGTCTGTAAACTATATCAATTATAAACTACTATCCCAAACCAAAGATTAATGTTCATTCCAAGAAACAAAGTGAACATAAAGGAGATTAAAAACAAAAATGTATAATTCAGTTATCTAGTATGACAGAAGAAAGAAAGTGATATTTCCTCAACAAATTTGCTAATAGGTTTGCTGTCTAACCTTTCACTATACCTCTAGTGTGGCAACATCATCTTCATTATATGAGAAAACTAGACAGTTTATATAATTTTACTAAAGTCACAGGTGTTTTAATGGTAAAAACTGTACAAAACTCAAGGGGCTTGACTTCCAGTAAAACCATCTATTAGACCTGCTGAAGTTTTAACTAATAGTATACTATATTTATAGGCTATAATAATCTCTAATCAAGATATAAGAATTCGCAACTTCACAAACTCTATTCATTAGTTTGATTACTGTATAACAAATGACTTCAGATAGAAAGTCACACACCTATGTTTAAAGAACAGTCCCATCCTGCTTCACAAAACTTTAAGAAATTAAAGAAGTTTGGCCAGGTGCAGTGGTTCACGCCTGTAATCCCAGCACTTTGGGAGGCCGAGACGGGCAGATCATCTGAGGTCAGGAGTTTGAGACCAGCCTGACCAACATGGTGAAATTCCCCTGTCTCTACTAAAAATACAAAAGTAGCTGGGCATGGTGGCGCATGCCTGTAATCCCAGCTACTTGGGAGGCTGAGACAGAAGAATTGTTTGAACCCAGGAGGCGGAGGTTGCAGTGAGCCGAGATCGTGCCATTGAGATCGTGCCATTGCACTCTAGCCTGGGCAACAAGACCGAAACTCCATCTCAAATAAACAAATAAATAAATAAGAAAACAAGAAGCTAAGCTAAGTAGAGTTGCTTCTAAAATCTAACCAATCAATCCTAGATAAAGAGACAGACAACAGTTTCTCAAGTAGTTCTTTTATAAAAAGAAATTTAAATTATCCTTAGGCTATATCATGGTTTCTGTTCAGTGTAACTGGGTAAATAAAGATGTATTCAATTTGCACAATCCCCCACTAACTCTACCTTCGTGACTTTGTCTCTTGGTTCCTTGCTTAGTCATCAAATGTCAACATTTAAGGATACAAGCTGTCTTTTCTGTTGCGTGACAGACTCATTTCTGCCCCTAAACTTTGCAATAATTCCAAGTTACACTTACAGGTTCTCTTAGTCTTCTAATTAGTCAGTTTGTTAATAAATACTGTCTAAGAAACCTCATAAGAAATGTGAAAATTAAAAGAAAAATTAAAAACAAAAGAAATGTCCAAATTAAAGGCAAAAACTCTTAAAGGTTCTAATCTTACAGCTATGATTTATGACCTTTAACCTGAAGGAAAAAAAAATCACAGTTAACTGATAAGTGGGGAGCAGACATTCTGCTATCAAAATGAAAGAGAACTAATTTTACATTAAAAATTATTTTTGAGCTCAAAAGTACATCCAAACAAGATCCACCAGAATGGCAATAATTTCAGTTACAAAGGTTGCAGACAACCATAAAGTGAGAGGCTTAATTAAGGTCGGTAACACTAACAATATCATGCTTTGGTATTATTTTGTAGTAGAAAGTGGCATTGGATATAGAGTCAGAAGACTGGATCAAATTCTGGTGGCTCCAATTATTAGCAATGTGATCTCGGACAAGACATTTAGCCTTTTAAAAAAGACTTTACAAAATGATGTTAATACATAATCTCAGAAGACAGAGTTATCTTATTAACCTCCTCTTTTGACATCTTTAGAAACTTTCTAACAGATTACTTGGCTTCCCATCCTTTTGGAATACTTCAACCAGGTTAGTTTATCTAAAACAGTTTCACCGCATTGTATCTCAATGAAAAAAACTTTTAATTGTGTCTACTTGCATAGCAATCTTCCTTTTCAGTCTTATTTCCTTTTATTTATTCTTTTGAGAAAGGGTCTTACTCTGGCGCCCACGCTGGAGTGCAGTGGCATGATCATGACTCACCTGCAGCCTCAACTTCCCCAGGCTCAGGTGATCCTCCCACCTCAGCCTCCCGAGTAGCTGGGACTACAGGTGTGTATCACCACACTTGGCTAATTTTTGTATTTTTTGTAGAGGTGGGTTTCGCCACGTTGCCTCAATCTTATTTCTGATCATCATTAGTCTTAAACATTCTGCCTGAACTCAAGAGTGAGAAAAGAAATGACAACTGGAAGAAACCATCAATTTAACTGAGGAGTCAAGCATAAATAAACATATATCAACACAAACTGTTCACCATTAAAATAACATGAAGATGAGTAGATCTTATTTGTACATGAAATGCAAATATACAATTTCTTCAGAGCATCTCTATGGTCGTAGACACCTTACTTATCGAAAAACGAATTTGCCTGTCATCTTTATTGAGGTACAATTGACAAAAATTGTATATATTTAAGGTATACTACTTAATGTTCTGATATACGTACACATTGTGAAAATAATCACCACAAACCAAACATATGCATCACCTCACAGTTACCATTCTCCCTTTTTCTTGTAGTGAGAACACAAGATCTAAATTTCAAGTGTACAATACACCATTATTAATTATATCCACACTGCTGTACATCTATACATTAGGTATCCAGAATTTATTCATCTTGCATAACTGAACCTCTGAATCCCTTGACAAACATCTCCCTATCTTCCCCGCTCCCAAAAACCACCACCATTCTACTTCCAAAAGAGAATTCTTCATTATACCCTCCCAAACGTTCTCCCACCAGCCTTCCCCATTTCAGTAACTGGCAACTCCTATTTTACCAGTTCCTTAGGTCAAGACCTTGTAGTCAACCCTGACTTCCTTCTTTCTTGTAGCCTATATCCAATCCATCAATGAATCCTGTTAGCTTCATCTTTCAAGTACGATGCAGCTGACCCTTGAACAACATGTGTTTGAACTCCATGGGTCTGCTTATTCATGAATGTTTTTCAATAAAAGTTACACTGAGTGTGCTTGCCTCTCCTGCCTCCCCTTCCACCTTTTCTGCCATTGCCATCCAAGACAGCAAGACCAACCCCTTCTCTTCCTTAGCCCACTCAATGTGAAGACAAGGACAAAGACCTTTATGATGATCCACTTCTGCTCAATGAACAGTAAATGTATTTTCTCATCCTTATGATTTCTTAATAACATTCTTTCTCCAGCTTACTTTATTGTAGGAATACTGTATATAATACATATAACATATAAAATGTGTTTATCAACTGTTTATGTTATCTGTAAGGTTTCCAGTCAACAGGAGGCTATTAGTAGTCAAGTTCTGAGGCAGTCAAAAGTAATACACTGATTTCTGACTGTGCAGGGGTACCCCTAACTCTTGTGTTTTCAAGGATCAATGGTACATACAGAATGGAACCACTTATCATCATCTCCACTAATATCTCCTTGGCCCAAGCCACTACAATTTGTGGCCTAGAAAAACGTCACCTAAAATAAAAAGAACAAAAAAGAAAAAAGCCACCTAAATAGTCAATTTCCACTTCTACTCTTATTCGTCTATGATTTTCTTCCCTTCACAGCCAGAGTAATCCTTTTAAAATGTACCAGATCACGTTACTCCTGAAAACACTCCCTAGCTCACATTGGCCCTAAATGATCTCCCCTTATGTCTTACTCTTTCTCCTCCATCTACCTAATTCAGTCATTCTAGCCACACTAACTTCCTTGCTATTCTTTGGAGACATTCCAAGAATATTCCTGTCTCAGGCTTTTACACTTGCTGTTCCCTTGCCCCAAACAAGATTCCCTGAGATATCTTCATGGCTTAACTTCTTACTTCTTGAAGGTCACTGCTCAAATATATCTTTATTCAAGAGGGTTTCCCTAACACTTTAAATAAACGGTCATCTCCACAATGTCATCACCCTTTAATCTTTTACCCAGCTTTATTCTTCTTTAAAGCATTTATTACCGCCTGTTTTATATTTATATTTGCGTTTGTCTACGAGAAGATCCCATTGACAAGCACTTTGTTGTTTTTGTTCACTACTATACCCCTAAGAGTCACTGTGCTCAGTATAGTTAGGTATTTGTTAAATGTATGAGTGATCTCAATTCCCTTTTGCTTCTCCGAGTATGAACATCTAATACTGAGTACGTATTGAGTATGAATCTAGAATTTAAACCTGAATAATTTTCATCAAATGTAATATCTAAATATAAGCTGCTTCATCCAATAAATAATCTATTTCAATATAGGAAGAAAAACTGACCATGTTAGACTTATCAAATTTCCCTAGTAAAAAGTAACATCACAGCAAAACTATTAATAACGAAATGGATAATCCATGAGTAAAGTGGTCCCCCCTTATTTATGGTGTCTCTTTCTGCAGTTTCAGTTACCTGTGGTCAAATGCAGCCCAAAAATATTAAGTGGAAAATTCCAGATACAAACAATTCTTAAGTTTTAAATTGTACACCATTCTGAATAACATGATGAAATCTTGTGTCACTCTACCTTCATCACAAGAAGAGTAAGAAGAGTAAGTACAATAAGAAATTTTGAGAGAGCCCACGCTCACCTAACTTTTATTACAGTATATTATTATAATTGTTCTATATTATTATTCATTATTGTTAATCTTTCCACCACCTAATTTATAAATTAAACTTTATCATGGGTATGTACATATAGGAAAAAACAAAATATACACAGAGTTTGGTACTATCTGTAGTTTCAGGCATCTACTTGGAACATATCCCCCATGGACAAGGGGTAACTACCATACCCAGTTCCCTTCAAATCAGTCCAGGTTGGTCAGTGAAGACATTTGCTCATAATTACCTCAGCATCAGCACTCTTGTATTACCCACTCAAAGTATAATGAGTATTTCTGCCTATCCTAAACCAAACAAACGACTTCAGGCATCTTAAGTAGATACAGCATTGAGTTACAGGCCTTAGATAATGCTAACCTTCTGGCAGAAATTGTTTTTTTCCTCATTATAATTTTAAAATAGCTATCCAATCTAATATGCCACATTCTAAACAGTAAAACAAAATCTCAAATCAGAATTAATCATAGATGCTTATAAATGAGCTTTACTATACTGAAGCATATGGAATTTAAGATTTTCCTGTATTTCACCTTCTAAAAATGAGCCCAGGCAAGAGATAAACACTTTAAGAAAATTACAGTTGTCAGTGGTCTTAAAACTAAGACTAGCATAATTTAGTGGGCCAAATTACCTAGAAAAAATCTGTAACATCATTTAATCTTCCTCAGCAGTAAATTTTATATTGGTTCTTAGAATTGGCAAGCAAATGCTATTCATAAAAAAAGAATGCTAATCTACAGCAATGACATAGAAAAGCAAAGACTGTTTTCATATCTAAAGCTGACAAAAGAAAAATGCCTTTTTAACCACAGAAGTCCAGAGATCAAAACAACTTTTGCTTCAATTTCACTTTAATAGTAAAATTTCAAAGGCAGAACGTTTGTTAATCTGTAAATCTAACCTGAGGGATCATATTAATTCTAATCAAAAACAAAGCCAACAAAAAACCAACAACTTGGTATTCATAGTGCATAAAAAATGAAGTTATTCACTTTTTAAAACAATAAATTAATTCTTTCACAGCTCACTAATTTACTAGTTCTAGCTGTAAGTGGAAATTCACTGTGACTTAGTCTGGAAAATAAATGCCCACCTCCTCGCTTACAAACAGATCATAGTAAGATGTTCTTTGGGACAGAATAAACAGCCTGAACCCCCAAGGAGGAGTCACAAAGAACTATGGATGTTGTCATTTTTATTCAGGCTCTGCTGCAAAGCCTTCCTGTGTATTAGAAAATCATGTACCAGACAAAAACAGAAGACAGGAATATTTAACTGCTCATGTAGATAAATATGTTAGAGGTGCTTTTATTTCTAAAGTTTCAAATTAGAAGTAAGGCTAGAGGCCAAACTACAACTTCCTTCAGGAACTGTGAATTACTTTCTTGCTGTCACAGTCTTCCTTTGCTACTGCTTACAGTAACTGGCCCACAAGGTATTTAATCTCATCTCCCCCAAGGACTTCTGCACTAATGGGTGGAATAAGGCCACAGTAT